>NC_000002.12:27826371-27979122 GCF_000001405.40 Homo sapiens
CTTACTTTTCTAGTCAGCTCTCCTGAATCTGTTTTTCTTTTCTTTTTTTTTTTTTTGAGACGGACTCTCGCTCTATTGCCAGGCTAGAGTGCAGTGGTGCAATCTTGGCTCACTGCAACCTCTGCCTCCCAGGTTCAAGTGATTTTCCTGCCTCAGCCCCCCAAGTAGCTGAGACTACAGGTGTGCACCACCATGCCCAGCTAAGTTTTGTATCTTTAGTAGAATGGGGTTTCACCATGTTGGCCAGGATGTTCTCGATCTCTTGACCTCATGATCCGCCCACCTCAGCCTCCCAAAGTGCTGGGACTACAAGTGTGAAGTGGCGCCTGGCAAGCTCTTCTGAATTCTAACAATAAACAAACAATTTGTGTTTCCCCAGCTTTAGGGGAACCATGAGTCTTTTTTCTAACTTGTTTCCTTTTCATTCCTACTCTGTAGCCATGGCTTGTTCACTTAGCACACTTGTCCTCAGCACAGTACCTTACATAAAAAATGTCTGTGTGGAGTCCATATGCCTAGTTTCGAATCTCCAGCTCTGTTACCTACCAGCAATGTGATCCTGTACAAATTTCTTCTTCTGTAAAATGGAAATAATACTTGTCTCACAGAATTGTTTAAAGATTAAATGAAAAAAAAGATTAAATGAGATGTATGCAAAAGAGACACAGCAAGCATGCAGTAAATGTTAGCTGCTAGAATTTGTTGGTTAAAAGAATGATCTCTGCTAACCAGTGCTCCTTGCTGTTCATTTCACTGGAGAAGCTTGTAAGACACAGCTACTTGTTCACTGCCTAGAATCTAAGCCCGACAAGGGCAGAGACTTTGCCTTATTTATTGCTATATCCCCAGCAACTATCATATGACTGGGACATGATAGGTATTCCACAAATCCCTATTTGTTGATGAATGACTGGATAAATGAATGAATACAGGTAACACAGGTATAATTTTACTGCTATTCTGATTTTATGAATGAGGAAACTACGTCTCAGAGAGGTCAAGCTGCTTGCATAAAGTCCCACAGAGAGTTAGAGAGGGATTAAAATACAGTTCCCCTGCCTGGTTGTTCTTCTCTTTTACCATATCACTTACTAGGGCTTTGTTTCATTATCCAAAAATTCAGGTACAGCATCTAATTAGTTACTAAGTAACAATTTTCAAAGGCTAAACATGATTCTTAAATTTTAAAACTTACCGTGGTATCCACAGCCTTGACTTTCTCTGTGGGAATGTGCTTTGGCTCAGGTTCTGTCTGTGACAGCACCACACATCCTTCAGCCCCTAAGGTAATGATTACCACCTGGCAGCCCCTTTTCAAGAGCACTAATGCAGCCTCCCCAGCATCTGCAGCGCTGCCCACCGTGAGGCCAGTTAAAATCTCAGCCTAGAATACACAAAAGTCAACAGAAACAGTGGTGAAAATAAGTAACCTGAATCCACTTCCAGATGCGTTTTTCTAGAAAATGTCTCCCTTCTTTTTTATAACAACCAATGCAATGGGAACCTTGATAGATACTGGTACAGGAAAATAAATAAAGCAATAACAGTGATGACAAAAACCATCAATGAAAGACATTCTGGGGACAACTGGGGAAATTTGAATGTGGCTTGGATATTAGATGATAGCATGGAATTACTGACAATCTTCCTAGGTGTGATAATGGTATTGTGTTTCCTCTTAGGAGATGTATGCCGAAGTATTTGGGGTGAGGCATCATGTTGTCTGCAACTTATTCTCAACAACAAAATACTTTTTTTTCCACTTACTTTTCAACAAAAACAAAACTAAATACATACAGGGAAGAGGAAAAGCAAATACAGCAAAATGTTAGCAAATGTTTAGGTGAAATGTAGAGTGTTCATTCAGCTTTTCTGCACATATAATAATTTTAACAAAGAGTTGGGGCAACAAAGAGAAGTCTACCAAAAAAAAAAGAAAAAGGAAGGTTGGAGGGGAGGCAGGAAAGGAGAAAGGAAAGGGCCACTGCCAAGAATTTTAGCATAAATTGCACCTGTAAGTTTGGCACCTAAGGACATAATTCTTCCAAGCCTCTCTTGGGCCATAATGCCTCTTCTCAAATTTCCAGTTTTTGCTTTCCATGTTTGCAGACTACTTATTTCTTTTGTTTGTTTTTGCCAGAGAAGATGGAAGCAGATTAGGAGAGGTAATGACAGGTAGCAGAAAACGCAATGCCCTGGCATTCAGGAGGCCTCTCCTACTCATTCAGTCTGTGACCTTCCCCACACCAATTACAATCTGTAAAATCAGGGGGCTTTCAACAAGATCCATATTTTTCTCCCAATTTCTCTTTCAATATACTAATTTTTCATTCCATTCTAATGTTTATTTTTCTACTGAGTGATTTAAAAACATTTCCATGACTTTTTAGGTTTTCAAGACTTCTAATTGGTTGTTTTTCATATTCACATGTTGTTGCTTTGATTCTGTTTTTCTTTCACAAAATTTTTTCTTCTTTCATAATGAATGTTAATCTTAATTATACTATTTAAAGTATTTTTTGCATTGTTTATTTATTTAGAGATAGTATCTTGCTCTATTACTCCAGCTGGAGTGCTGTGGCATGATCATAGCTCACTACAGCCTCAAACTCTTAAGCTCAAGCAATCCTTTTGCCTCAGCCTCCCAAATACTGGGACTCCAGGCATGCACCACCACACACAGCTAATCTTTTATTTTTGTAGAGACAGGATGAAGTCTCATTATGTTCCGCAGGCTGGTCTCAAACTCCTGGGTTCATGTGATTCAACTGCTTTGGCCTCCCAAAGCACTGGGATTACAGGTATGAGCCACCACGCCTGGCTGAATTTTATTATATGAATTTCATCTTGGGCAAATTCATCTGTAGGTTGTTGATTGTGCTGGGTGAATTTTGTAGCATTATGTTTTTCATTTGCAGGCTCACTTTACTTACTGTGAGTTGGAAAGCTGTCACACATCAGTTCCCACCTGGTTGATCCCTGCTTTTCAGTGTTTTTTTTTTTTTTTTTTTTTTGAGACAAGAGTCTTGCTCTGTCACCCAGGCTGAAGTGCAGTGGGGAGATCTCGGCTCACTGCAACCTGTGCCTCCCAGGTTCACACGATTCTCCTGCTTCAGCCTCCTGAGTAGCTGGGACTACAGGTGCATGCCACCACACCTGGCTAATTTTTGTATTTTTAGTAGAGATGGGTTTTCACCATGTTGACCAGGATGGTCTCGATCTCCTGACCTCGTGATCCACCTGCCTTGGCCTCCCAAAGTGCTGGGATTACAGGCGTGAGCCACCACGCCCAGCCCTCAGTGGTTTTACAGTAGCTTCCCCCAGGTACACAAGAGTCTCTAAACCAAAACCAGGTATTATATTGGCAATAGGGAGTTCTTGCTCTGCTGTTTCTGGGGCTACTGCCAGTCCAGTCACTAAGTCAGTGGTTGGCTTGGTTTACTTCTTGGTCAGAGGCTGTGTCTCTGTCCTGCTAACTCCTCAGTTTGGGGGCCTTAAATATGCTTCAGGCAGCAGGGGTAGCAGGTTCCTCCCCCTTTCACTGTTAGCAGGGGAGCCACAGCCTAGCATGTATGGTTTCCATCTGTGGGCTCGGCTCCAGTCCGCTATAAATGGCACACTTTTAGTATCCATGACCCACAGCGGGTGAACTTCCTGCCACTTCTGCCTGTTTCTGGGGCTAGTGTACAGCCAGCATATCAAGGGCTGAATGCTCTGTGAGGCTGTTCCATTTCTGATCTGTGGAGTTATTTATCTTGTTTTAGAGCTTGTAAGTATCTTTTCATTGTGTCCATTAGTATTTACATATCAGTGGTTTGTGTTTGGAGCAGAGTGAGTATCATAAGCATGAATTTACATTATTGCTGTGATTAGAGTTCATCTATAAGAACATTAAGCTTTTTTTTTTTGAGACAGAGTCTCCCTGTAGCCCAGGCTGGAGTGCAGCCGCCTGATCTTGGCTCACTGCAACCTCCACCTCCCAGGTCCTGGTTCAAGCAATTCTCCTGCCTCAGCCTCCTGAGTAGCTGGGCTTACAGGCACGTGCCACCATGCCCAGCTAATTTTTGTATTTTTAGTAGAGACGGGGTTTCACCATGTTGGCCAGGCTGGTCTTGAACTCCTGACCTCATGATCTGCCCACCTTGGCCTCCCAAAGTGCTGGGATTACAGGCGTTAGCCACCGCGCCTGGCTCCAGAACATTAAGCTTTTAATGTTTTTCTTTCTTCCATTAAGTTTCTGAGACCAGTTTCCTTAAAGACCAGAGTTCTTTCATTTATTTATTTCATAAGCATTTACTAAGTGCCAGCTATGTGCAGGTACAGTGTAGCAGATGTTATTTTCCAAAGATAACTGTATTAACCTATATCATATCACACATCCTGGTTTTACACTGTGCCAATGACAATCTTCTAGTAAGGGGTGGGGTACTAGGGTGGACCTTCCTGCTTAAATCAATAGAATGAGTCAGAAGTGATGCCGTGTTACTTCCGAAGCTAACTCATAAAAGCCAACATGGCTTCTGTGTCTCCTTCTCACGGGAAGCTGGATCTTGAAACCCAGCTACCATATTATGAGGAAGCCCAAGTCACACGTAGAGGCCATGTTTACATGTTCTGGCCAACAACCTCATTATGCCCCCAGCTGAAAGCCAGCATCAACTGTCAAGCAGGTGAATGAAGAAAAGTTCCAGCTCTCAGCCTTTGCGTCTTCCAACTGAAGCCCCAGGCATCGCGTGGGAGAGTCAAACCATGCTATCCCCTGTGTGAATTCCTGACATGCAAAAACTGAGAGTGACAATAAATAATTATTGCTGTTGTAAGCCAGTACATTTTGGAGGTATTTTATTATGCAGCAATAGATAACTATATACACAGGGATAGCCATCAGGGATACAACAGTGAATAAGACAGATGTCTCTGACCTCATGGAACTTGTAATTTAATGGAGAAGACAGAAGAATTGAATAAGTAATTTGAGCTGTGATGAACATTTGAGGAATAAATAGAGTGCTCTTCAAGTATCTAGCAGGAAAATTTAGGCCAGTTTGGCAGTTGAGGGTACTCTAACCTCTTATTGTGAAATGATCGCTATTTCCCACAATTCCTTCTTCCTAGCATGGTGGTTGCTCAAAAATATTGCATAACCTATTGTGGTTTGTTAAAATTAGTTTCTTTGTAGCAGTCTTCTTTCTTGTTTCCTCTATGTTTTGAGAGATGAAATTATCAAGAAAGCAGGTCAAGAAATCCTAAAAGCCTTCATATAGACTTTAAACCAAATGGAAAATTAGGCTGGGTACAGTGGCTCACACTTGTAATCCCAGTACTTTGGGAGGCTTGATTTAGCCCAGGAGTTCGAGATTAGCCTAGGCAACATGGCGAAATCCCGTCTCTACACAAAATAAAAAAATTAGCCAAGCGTGGTGGTCCCAGCTACTTGGGAGGTTGAGGTGGGAGGATTGCTTAAACCTGGGAGGTAGAGGCTGCAGTGAGCCATGATGACACCACTGCATTCCAACCTGGGTGAAACAGTGAGTTCCTGTCTCAAAAACAAAAAGTAGAAATTTAACTATTATGGTTCATTAATTTCTTTCTCTCCATGTTGCCTTTACTAACGTGTATACCTGCATCCCATTGATGGGCGAGAGCTCTGTTCTAATGCTGTCTGGCTTATAAAAAGGGAGAAATATTGAAATTTTCTTCCCAACAATATTTAAGAAAGGGTGGTACAATATCCTTTCTTATTGTACCAGTTGATAGATAGTCTGTTCAGATGATACATCATGACACAGGGTCTTCACTACAGAATGTAGCAGATCTTCCAGGAGTTGTATACTAATTAGCGTTTGGCAGACAAACTACAGGAAGCTCAGTTAAATTTGAATTTAAGATAAATGACAGGTAATTTTACAGTATAAATTTGTTAGGTATGTTATTTATTATCTATCTGAAATTCAAATTTAACTGGGCATCCTGCATTTTTACTTGCTAAACCTGGCAACTTTAATATAGTCCTCAGAACATGAAATAATTAGAAAAGAAAACAAAACACCAACAGTGTGAGGGCAAGGAAGGGACTAAAATTAACTGAGGTTTGATAAGTGCCAGAATATGGAAGTGACTCAGAGAATCCTTTTTTCCCCCCTAGGATTTACTAATTTCCTTTTCTCCACACCCCGGTAAACTGAAAAAATCTGTTTTCACCATGCCTGAGAATTCACGTCATCAAATTGATGTGGTTAGTTCTGCCCCTTTGCTTTATCCACTTGTACAAACTTTTGGTTTCTCATAGAATGAGCAAAGCAATTCACCCTTACCTCACTTTCATTGCAGCAGAACACATCTGAGAGGGTGTAGAACTGGGGATCCAGGTCAGCAATGGCAGGGGCTGGATTGAACAAGGTTTTCACTACAAAGGAATGGAAAAGGGGGTTATTATTAGTTTTCATTTTTAACATGGTGCATTTACAGACAACATTCAGTAGGGAAAATCCCCGAGTTCGTTTTTGTCTTCATCTGGTTAAATATCCACTTAGTTACGGATGTAGAGAAAAGTCTGAAATCTCAATCTTCACGACAGCTGGGTACCAATTCCCTATTTCCATTTTCTTTACTTTGTACTTTACAACATTTCAGCTTCCAGGGAAAAGAGCAATATAACAGTCAACGTGATTATAGAGTTAAGGCAAAGGCAACAGGAACATTAGAGAAAAGTAAAAATGCTGTGGCATGAAAGGGCATGTGTGAATGTGAACAGGCTGGTGGACATTTTTGTGGGTTACTTTAAGTGCTTGGTTTCAAGGCTAGTTCATAAACCCATTTTCCAGGGAAGAAAAAGAGACGATAGAAAATAAACAATGAAAGGTTCAGAATTCTCCCGGTGGGAACAGTAAGCGGGAAGCTCATGTGCGTATGCATATTTTGTACACCTATGTATGCCTCCCAAATATATCACAATTACTCCTGCAAACATATGCACTTACACAAAAGCTTACATTCTTGGCTTCTGTGAGCAATCTGGGAATATTAAAAAAAAGATTGAGAAAGGAGGAGGAATTCAGTCAGAGGCTGGTGCTAGCTCAGACGGAGAGGCTACAAGAGAAGGATAGATGGGAATAGCAGACACAGGGAAATGAGAATATCATGGCCATTTTTCAGAGGGAGGAAAGTGAAGCTCAGAAAGATGAGGTCCTATGTCTCAGTTCATACATTGGGACACAATTAAGATGGACCCCTACTCAGGGTCCTCTGGCTTTAAGTTCACGGTTTGGTCCACTCTAGAAAAAGGGGCCTCTCTAGGCCAGGACTCTGTCCACACCAACACATACCTCAATGCCAATTCACAATATTTTAAAACACCCTTTGGTTTGGGACTTCGTAAATGTAGATATATATATATTTCAAGTCTTTAGAAATTACATTCATAGGAAGCTCCTTCTTTGTCAAAGCACTAATTCACTTGAGTACTAGATTGGTTAGTCTTCTTTTTCTCAACCCAGGTCCACTGACTTGCGTGTTAAGTAGTCTCATTTGACTATAGACCCATAGTGTAAAAATCTCTAGCTGCAGTTCTCAGAGACTTCAATAACAGTGCTTTGCAAACTTGGTTGCCTATCAGCATCACTAGGAAAGCTTGTTAAAATGCATAATTTCTAGGACTGACCTCAAACCCACTGAATCAGAATCTCTGGGGGTAAGATCAGGGAATCTGCATATTCACAAGTTCTCCATGAGGCTCTCACATAGCCAGCTTGGCACTAATGCATTCCACATTCTTGGGGAGATGCTAATCAGCACGTGGCTAATGGAAACTGTCTACTGCTTCAGCCTGGTGAGGACATCTAGTCTACTTCTGCACCTTCCTTGGTCTTACCTAGCATTTTGATTCAGTCAGTGGGTCTTGTCCAGTATAGGCTAACACTATTCCCACATTTTTGTTATTTCAGAATCCAGAATGTCCACCCACAGAAATTCTATGGTATATTTTTGGCTGCTCAGATTTTTGTATAGAGTTATTGTGCAGCTTAAATTAGAAAATGGATGTAAAAGCCCAGTGTAAAATCTAACCTGCTGTACAAATGTAAAGGATTATTACTGTTATTATATTGTCCTTTACAGATAGCCCAACACCCCCGCCTGTCTACCCATCTCTTCTGCCTTCTGCTGGAGTTTGTAGCCTGGCAACAGTCTCTCTCATTGGTTCTCTCACTTCTGAGAGGTCTTAGAGATGTCAATTACACATAAAGGCTCTCATTGTCCAGTATTCTAACACACTCACTTAAACTTTTTAGGTTTTCAGAACAATATACTGTTCCCAGTTTTCCTCAAGCATTAAATGGAAACAACTGCTCACCTAGTGTAATCCACAAATCTACATTCATCAGCATTTGAGCACAGATTAGAGCAAAGCTACAAGTGTGGAACAACATGGTAGAGCCATTCTTAAAAGATCAATTTTTTCCCTCAAAGATGCATGATCCTGTAATTCCTTTTCTAAACCCATCCTACAGAAATCCATAAGCATGCAAAGATGATATACAATGTTGTTTGTACAGCTCTGTTTGCAATAGAAAACACAAAAAGAAACTTTTACTAAAGGGGATTGGTTTAAAAAATTATGACATAGGCTGGGCGTGGTGGCTCATGCCTGTAATCCCAGCAATTTGGGAAGCTGAGGCGGGTGGATCAACTGAGGTCAGGAGTTTGAGACCAGCCTGACCAACATGGTGAAACTCTGTCTTCACTAAAAGTATAAAAATTAGCCAGGCATGGTGGTGCGTGCCTGTAATCCCAGCTACTCCAGAGGCTGGGGCAGGAGAATCGCTTGAACCCGGGAGGTGGAGGCTACAGTGAGCTGAGATCGCGTCATTGCACTCCAGCCTGGGCAACAAGAGCGAAACTCTGTCTCAAAAAAAAAAAAAAGAAAAAAAAGAATTATGACACGTCTGATGTAGATCACTACAGCTGTTAAAAAGAGTAAAGTAGATCTCCGTTTATCAAGAAAGATTTCTATAATTTATTTATAAGTGAACAAGGAAGTTTTGTACTACCCACCCACCCCACCCCCCCTTTTCTGAGATGGCTCTGTCACCCAGGCTGGAGTATAGTGGCGCAATCTTGGCTCACTGCAACCTCCACCTCCCAGACTCAAGTGATCCTCCCACCTCAGCCTCCCAAGTAGCTGGGACTAATGGGCCTATCACCATGCTTGGGCAATTTTTTTTTTTTTTTTTTTTGGTAGAGATGAGGTTTTGCCATGTTGCCTAGGCTGTTCTTGAATTCCTGGGCTCAAGCGATCCTCACACCTTGGCCTCCCAAAATGCTAAGATTACAGGTGTGAGCCACCGTGCCCGGCCTACCTCCCCTTTTTAATAAGAACAAATAACAAGCACACATAACTATATGTGTATTTACATTTATACACTTACATAGAAGGAAAAAATGTCGGAGAGGTTTCTCACCAAACTAATGAGCCATTAGTTATAAAAAGCTGATAGGACTAAATTTGACTACAGGTTAAGTGCTGTATGAGGTAAAGACATTACTCTTAAAACACATAGTATCTGGCCGGGCACAGTGGCTCATGCCTGTAATCCTAGCACTTTGGGAGGCTGAGGGGGGTAGATCAAAAAGTCAAGAGATCGAGGCCATCCTGGCCAACATGCTGAAACCCCGTCTCTACTAAAAATACAAAAATTTGCCAGGCGTGGTGGCATGCGCTTGTTAGTCCCAGCTACTTGGGAGGCTGAGGCAGGACAATCGCTTGAACCTGGGAGGCGGAGGGTGTGGTGAGCCGAGATCATGCCACTGCACTCCAGCCTGGTGACAGAGTGAGATTCTGTCTCAAAAAATACTACTACTAATAATAGTATCTTACATCAAAAAACAGGTATACTATAAACGAAATGATATAACATCTGGGTTTTGCTTCAACATAATTCAAGGTGGCAGTGCGGGGTAGGGAGCCATGAGGCAGGATACAGATAAAACAAGATTGGCCATGTGCGACAAAAACAAGCAATGGGGAAAAGACTCCCTATTCAATAAATGATGCTGGAATACCTGGCTAGCCATATGCAGAAGAATGAAACTAGACCCTTATCTTTCACCATATACAAAAATTAACTCAAGATGGATTAAATATTTTAAATGTAAGACCTCAAACTATAAAAATCCTAGAAGAAAGCTTAGAAAATACCCTTTTTGACACTGGCATTGGCAAAGAATTTTTGGCTAAGTCCCCCAAAGCAACTGTAACAAAAACAAAAATTGACAAGTGGGACTTAATTAAACTAAATAGCTTCTGCATAGCAAAAGAAATGGTCAATAGAGTAAACAGAAAACCTATAGAATGGGAGAAAATATTTGCAAACTATGCATCTGACAAAGGTCTAATATGCAGAATCTATAAGGAACTTACATAAATCGACAAGCAAAAAACAACTCTGTTAAAAAATGGGCAAAGGACATGAACAGACATTTCTCAAAAGAAGATACACGAGTGGGCCAAAAAACATATGAAAAACTACTCATCGTTTCACTCATCATCAGAGAAATGCAAATCAAACTATAATGAGATACCATCTCACACCAGTCAAAACAGCTATTATTAAAAAGTCAAGGGCCAGCCGAGGTGGCTCACACCTGTAATCCCAGCACTTTGGGCGGCCGAGGCAGGCAGATCACGAGGATCGGGAGATTAAGATCATCCTGGCTAACACGGTGAAACCCTGTCTCTACTAAAAATACAAAAATATTAGCCGGGCATGGTGGCAGGTGCCTGTAGTCCCAGCTACTCGGGAGGCTGAGGCAGGAGAATGGCGTGAATCTGGGAGGTGGAGCTTGCAGTGAGCCGAGATCGTGCCACTGCACTCCAGCCTGGGCGATAGAGCGAGACTCCATCTCAAAAAACAAAACAAAACAAAACGAAACAAAAAACAAAAAGTCAAAACACAACAGATGCTGGTGAGGCTGCAGAGAGAAGGAAACACTTATACACTGTTGGCAGGAATGTAACTTAGTTCAGTCATGTAGAAAGCAGTTTGGAGATTGATTCTCAAAGAACTTAAAATAGACCTACCATTTGACCCAGCAATCCTATGCCTGGTACACACCCAAAGGAAAACAGATCATTATACCTAAAGGAAACATGTACTTGTATGTTCATCACCATGCTAGTCACAATAGCAAAGACATGGAATCAACCTAGGTGCCCATCAATGGTGGACTGGATAAAGAAAATGTGGTACATATATACCATGGAATACTATGTAGCCGTAAAAAGGAATGAAATCATGTCCTTGGCAGCAACATAGATGGAGCTGGAGGCCATAATCCTAATCAAATTAAAATAAGAACAGAAAACCAAATACCACATGTATTCACTTATAAGTGGGGGCTAAATATTGAGTACGCATGGACAGAAAGATGGGAACAACAGACACTACAGAGTACTGGAGCAGGGAGGGGCACAGGTTGAAAAGCTACCTATTGAGTACCGTGCTCCCTACCTGGGCGCAATACTCCCATGTAACAAATCTGCATATGAAGGCCTGGTGCGGTGGTTCATGCCTGTAATCCCAGTACTTTGGGAGGTTGAGGCAGGTGGATCACCTGAGGTAAGAAGTTCAAGACAAGCCTGGCCAACATGGTGAAGCCCCATCTCTATTAAAAATACAAAAATTAGCTGGGTGTGGTGGTGCCTGCCTGTAATCCCAGCTACTTGGGAGGCTGAGGCATAAGAATCACTTGAATATGGGAGGTGGAGGCTGCAGTGAGCTGAGATCATGCCACTGCACTCCAGCCTGGGCGGGCAGAATGAGACTCTATCTCAAACAAACAAAAACAAAACAAAAACAAGTCTGCACATGTACCCCCGTGTCTAAAATAAAAGATGGAATTTAAAAGTAGAAAAAAAGACTGGCCACATGTTGGTAACTGTTGAAGCTAAATGATAGTATATATAGGTTTACCATACTATTCTCTGTATGTCTATATATATTTGAAATTTTCCACAATAAAAGCAAATTTTAAGGAAAAAATTACATTAAAATTTAGGTACCAATTGCTAGAATAAGGAATTCCATAATTTTACTGTAAATACTGTATAAAAATCAACCTTATTTGCCTGTACTTTACTGAGGGACAGCATTCTTCAATAGTAACTGGATACATAGGCTTAGAGTCTGACTGGTAACTAAATTTAGGGGAAAAGTGTAAATGCCATAAAGAAAGCATTCTTCTCAGCTTGTGCTACCACAAATGAGCATACTCCACCATGATGAAAGAAACATAAATTAGTAGATGCAGTTAATCAAAGAAGAATGCAAATCTGTAATAGACAAGGTGGAAGCCATGATGTCATCCTGGGACCAGGCAGAGCTAGAGAACACAGACTGTACCATGGAGTAACTTGGAGTTGCAGAGGTGACTGGTAGCACCCAACAGTAATTATTATTAATTACAGTGTCAGATGAACTAAACTCCTAGTTATCTTAACTGCATGTTAATGGATAGCACAATAATGTCAATAAGGAACTGGTGAGGCCTGGAGGAGCAGTTGTATAGGCTAAAAGGCAGGAAAATGAGGCAGAAACTCTTTATGGTGTTGTCACGGAGGGCAGGGGCTGGACAGTTAGGAAGGCCCTAATTATTAGCTCAGAGAAACCGGGGAAGAAAATCACCCTGAGTGAAGACACTGTGAGCATGTTGGGACACTCAAAATACTGGCTTTGCTGTCCATTACTCTAGAGGCTCTTTTCTGTGACTTGAGCAGCAAAAACACTCAAAGCTTGGGCTATGTGCTGGACAATGTCATTGTGAAAGTCTGGATGGCCAGATAAGAAGTTTTGTTTGCCAAAGGCAAAAGGACTGAAGTGGCATTAAAAGATACTTTGTATCATACTGATAATTTAACTTTGGCAATTTTACAATCTCAATTATTTATAATTGTTTATGTACTGTTCCATTTGCTTGGAAATGGATATAAAGACCAGAACCAACATGCATAATTTCATCACAAGCAGCTGCAGCACTGGCTCTTCAGTGGGCCTACCTCATAGCTTCATGGCCTGGTGGGGATGGGGGTGGCTATACAGGGCTACCGATTTTTGGTGTTGTAGCTACTATGTCTTTAAAAATCAATGCTTTCATTTTGATAGCGACAGAGAGTTTTGAGACAGTATATTCAAAGATGTAGGGATCTTTTCCTCTGGATTTTCATAACTGATATATTAGCATAATCTAGTTATGCAATGTGCTTAATTCAAAATTCACTACCTGTAAGCAGTAAAGATAATGGAACTGTGATAAGAAAACCCATAGATGATGATGACGATGAAGACTTTATCATCGTTCTTGAAGACGGAATAATGCTGTTCAGCACATAGGCAGCTTCCTGGGGCAGTGGGTAGGGTGCTCAGTGCTCAAGAGATCATTAAGCCCACTCTGCTCTGGGATCAGTCCAAAGTGACATGAAAGAACTGTGAGAGCTGTCAGCCCAATTCTGGTTTCACAGAAGAAGAAAATGACGTCCAGAGTGAGGAACTGACTTACTTGACTGAGATCCCCCATTTGCTGATTGATTATGAATTTAAAGCCATATTTCACAATTCCCAAACCAATGGTCTCCTTTCATTATACCACTCTTCTTCTTTTTTTTTTTTTTTTTGAGATGGAGTCTCGCTCTGTCACCCAGGCTGGAGTGGAGTGGCGCGATCTCAGCTCACTGCAAGTTCCGCCTCCTGGGTTCACACCATTCTCCTGCCTCAGCCTCCCGAGTAGCTGGGACTACAGGCACCCACCACCATGCCCGGCTAATTTTTTTGTATTTTGAGTAGAGATGGGGTTTCACCGTGTTAGCCAGGATGGTCTCGATCTCTTGACCTCATGATCCACCCACCTCGGCCTCCCAAAGTGCTGGGATACCACTCTTCTTGCATATGAGAATGATGATGCATTACACACACACACACACACACACACACACGCGCGCGCGCACACACACACACACACACACACACACACACCCTCCTCATGGAATAGAATCTAAGCTGCATCTGGCCGGTATCTACCAAATAGGGACCAGCTGACTTGGCCAGAGAAAGCCACCGGACTGGAGGAGTAATGGACACATGAGTGTGTGTGCTTGTGTGCATGTGTGTTCGTGTGTGTGTGTGTAAGTTCTATTGGGGTTACAGTGCTGAAAACACTGTAGAGCCTCTTCTCTGTTTCTTGAGCAGCAAAAACACATAAAGCTTAGGCCACGTGCTGGACAGTGTTAAAATTTATGGACTTGACTTTTCTAGAGATACTCTTCATAAAGGCTCAGTTTGTTGGAATCAATGGGTTGTGGCACTTTAAAGTGTGGTTTAAACTAGGAGACAGAACTTGGGTCTTAGAGTCTGAAATCATGGTTTCTTCAACTTAAAGTGCGACACTGTTTGAACAAATGACTTAACCTCTCAGTCTCAGTCTTCTCACCTTTAATCTGAGAGAACAATGCCTGCCATATCTTTGTCATAAGGTTTTTCTGAGGGTAAAATGTGTACGAAAGTACTTTATAAGATGTAAAGTACATATAAATGCATGGTATTACTATTTCTGCTATTATTATATAAGGAAGTTCATGCAGAATTAATACCAAGGCATGCTGGCTCTTAATAAAAGTGTGAAGTAGGCCAAGTGGTCTGTGGCCCACTGTCACCTACCCCGCTTCCTGCTGTCCTGGGTCCTCCAGCTCCCAACTGGAAGAGCTACACGGAAGGTGATGGAGGAAGCCTTTCTGGACCCCACCCAATGACAGCCCCAGGGTAGGCTGCCTGCCCATCCGGATTACTCTATTCTCACCTGTGAAAGGTTAGCTCCTCAACTGTGGCTGCTGTATCTTTCTCTCCTTCACAAGCAGGGTAGGTAACAGGCAACTAGACTAGGACAGAGGGAACAGTGATCTCTGAGCAGTAAGGGATAGTAGGAAAAAAAGAGAAGTTACACGAGAATGTGCTTTGATCTATACAAAGAAAGACAAGAGCAGGAGCAGGGTGGCACCCTGTATTCACATCACTCTGCTGAGATGGGCACGGTGCAGAGAATGCGTAACCATAAGCATTAGACTTTACTGTGACACTCCAAGAAAATGGAACCAAATGGGTTTTGGCTTAGAATTCTTTCTGACAGCTTCATGTCCATTAAAAATACACTAAATGTCAGGGAAAATTTACCACAGCATGTTGTTTTGCCAAGAGGAAAATTTGTTAAATCAGGACGAACATTTTAAAATTCTCCACAAAATCATTTCAGTGACTTATTTTCCATTTATTTCTATGTAGAACACTACACACTTTGGGAGAAATCACTTATATAAACACACACACACACACACACACACACACACACTGTTCTTTTTCTTTTTTCTTTTTAGTTTTGTATCTTGAGAAATAGTCAGTGTGGTTCTCTATTTTATTCTTTAAAAAAATCACAGAACTATTGCCACAATATCAAGAAGTCATCATGTTAGAGTGGCTACTATTTATTTTGATTTTTTTCACCAAATGATGCTTGATCAGGATATTATCCTAACTTTAAAGAGAGAAGTGGATTGAAGAGGAAAAAATTGGGATTTACCACCATGTACTACACCATGCTTGGCATCCTATTTTATTTTATTCCATCCTGAGAACAATTCTGCAGATGGAGTATTTCTATATGCATTTTACTGAAAAGGCTCAGACAAATCAGGTAATTCTGCTAGGACCACGAAGCTGACAAGGGACAGAAATGGGATTCTAATTCAGAAGATGCTTTCCCCACTAGTCAGTGGTGAAAAGGAAGCAAACAAATAAATCATCTGGATTTTTAAAAAGTTTGTTATTTGCTGGAGGTGAGAAAAGAGGAGTGAGTGGGAGAAAAGATGAATCAAGATTAGCTACAGGTTGATAACTGGAAGCTGGGTGATGGATTTCACTGTACAATTCTGCTGCTTTTGTAGGTTTGAAAATTTCCAAAATCAAAAACAAAAGAGGCAATGTCAATGGACATTGATAACATAGAAAATATTACATATAAATAATCTTTTGTTGTTTATTGAAAGATGATAAAGTTTTACAAAAAGGAGAAAAAACCTAATCTTCAATTCCTAGAGATGTTTGTCAAAAAGTAACTGGGCTGCCCCAGTTACTTTTGTATGTATGCATGTATTTGTATGTATGACATGCAGCTTAACCTCTGCTTCTCAGAGTAGAAAACATTTCACCACCTAGAGTGTACCTTGGACAAGGGGCTGATTCAGGAATTCTTTTTTTTTTTTTTGAGACGGAGTCTCACTCTTGTCACCCAGGCTAGAGTGCAGCAGAGCGATCTCGGCTCACTGCAACCTCCACCTCTAGGGTTCAAGCGATTCTCCTGCCTCAGCCTCCTGAGTAGCTGGAATTACAGGAATTCTAATTCTACTTGTACCATTTCTGCCAGCTACATTGAAGATTTATATTGCGGGATATCGGAAATGCTACTCATGTTTTTTTTTTTACCCTGTTTGCAAGGTTTTCTAACATTATCAAGAACCACAAGACTGTGAATCTCACAGATGGAAGAAAGAATATTTTACGACAGAAAGAGTATTGCTTTGCTTAACTTAAAAGGTTAACTTTAATTAAGACAGCGATAAAAGCTTTTATAGAAAGAATGACAAATATGTATAATTACCTCCACTCCTGCGGGCCATTGTTAGGGCTTCCAAAGAAGTTGCTGGAGTTATTTCGAGCTGGCAGACCATGACTTTGGCTCTGCTAATGACATTGGCTGCTGCCCTCAGATCCTCCGTATTCAAAAGTAAATTTGCTCCAGCCACTATGACAATGATATTCTGGCCTATAAAGAAATTCCACCTATTATATTAAAACTAAACAAAGCCAAGCAAATGATATTCTGCAGTGTTATGAATACAATCGCCCTTGTAAAGTCATTATACAAAATGTGTTATTAAGTATTAATTTTAGCATTTCTAGGTTATTCAGCTTGAACTTTGAGTTCCAAATGTATCTTTTATAATATCTCTGTAAGATGCACATTATTCTGATCACCTTAAGCAAAATCTTAAAAAGATTTTCCCAATATTCTTATATATAAAGAATATTAGTTGAGAAATGACATATAACATACTTTAAACATTTCTTTTATAGAAAATAGCTAGTATATGTATGCGGTAAAGGTTCTGAATCCTAAATGACAGATGCCATAGAGATGAATATAAATAGGAATAAACTTGTATGACACTGTAGTATGCAAGCAGTTCATGTGTGTACCCTATGGTATTCTAAAAAGTGATTCTGTCAATCAAAACACATTTTAAATATCTAACAGATAGAAAATTGTATCAGATATAGAGGAGAGAGGGATACCTGGCTTATACTATAATGGATCAAACAGAAACAGAACTAAGGAATCTGATATATTCTTATTACTTGGACCTGCTGTCTATAATCCCACCTGAATGAGGCAGGGGTGGTGGTGCATTTCAT
This sequence comes from Homo sapiens, assembly GCF_000001405.40. Classification (NCBI taxonomy): domain Eukaryota; kingdom Metazoa; phylum Chordata; class Mammalia; order Primates; family Hominidae; genus Homo; species Homo sapiens. Next base: position 27,843,882 of record NC_000002.12, read on the forward strand.
CTGTAAGGTGAACCCTTAAGAGCTGTGCTGTCCAACATGGTAGTCATGAGCACGAGCCACACATGGCCATTGAACATTTGAAATGTGGCTAGTCCTGGCTGGGCAGAGTGGCTCATACCTATAATTTCTAGCACTTTGGGAGGCCGAGGTGGGCAGATCACTTGAGGTCAGGAGTTGAAGACCAGCCTGGTCAAATGGTGAAAACCCATCTCTACTAAAATTACAAAAATTAGCTGGGCGTGGTGGTATGTGCCTGCAGTCGCAGCTACTTAGGAGCCTGAGGCGTGAGAGTCGCTTAAACCTGGGAGGCGGAGGTAGCAGTGACCTGAGATTGTGTCATTGCATTCCAGCCTGGGCAAGAGTGAGTGAGACTCTGTCTCAGAAAAAAAAAAAAAAAAAGAAATGTGGCTAGTCCACTGAGGTGTGCTTCAAGTAAAATACAAGCGGATTTCAAAGATAGTACAAAGGAAATAAGGTAAAATATCCATTTATTCTTACCATTTTAAAAATTAAAAAAAAATTAAGATAAATTTTGGGGTCTCACTCTGTTGCCCAGGCTGGAGTGCAGTCGTGCGATCTTGGCTCACTGCAGCCTCCACCTCCTGGGTTCAATCAACTCTCCCACCTAAGCCTCCCAAGTAGCTGGTATTGCAGGGGTGTGCCGCCACGCCTGGCTAATTTTTTTTTGCATTTTTAGTAGAGATGGGGTTTCACTATGTTGGCCAGGCTAGTCTCGAACTCCTGACCTCATGTGATCTACCCGCCTTGGCCTCCCAAAGTGCGGGGATTACAGGTGTGGGCTACCGTACCCAGCCAAGATAAATTTTTGATTACACACTGTAATGATAATATTTTGGACATATTGGGTTAAATATATGGCCTAAGTTAAATTTACCTGTTCCTTTTTACTTTTTAAAATGTGGCTACTAGACAATTTAAAATTCCACACGAGGCTTGCATTTTATTTTTATTGGACAACACTGATCTGGAGGAATGAGTTGTAGCAGGCATTTTCTGTGCTCCGGGCTGCTCGTGCTGATCTTGTACAGACATGACCTAAAATCACCTCTCAACACAGAACAAATTCTATCCTATCATCTTACCACAGATGTGTTTGTTGGCCACGAGGAAGACTTAATAAAGTGGGGATGGTTCAGCATAAACCTAACCTCAGTCCTAGAAAAATTCAAAGTTCCCACTTGCTGAAAGACAGCATCTCTCCTTCCTTTTCTTCAGTGACCTCATTTTCTCTGTTGGAGTCAGCTGCTGCTTCCATGTTGCTGTCTCCCAGATCCAAATTTTTGGCCTGGCCTTAGCTGCTAAGCAGCAAGCCCAAGACTATAGCTGTCTGATGGATAATGCCATATGGCTAGCTTATTCATGCCTCAAATTTAACTAGTCAAAACTAAACTCATTACTTTATCTTGCAAACTCACTCCTTCATTTAAAGGAGCTGATTGTCCCATCTCTGTGTATTTGTCCTAATTCTTCTATTACCACCTATAGTCTTGAGGGCATTACCGTACACTGTAAACCAGGCAAGGTCTACCAAATAGGCACTTGACACACACTATGACATTATATCTTTGCATGGAAAATGCAGATTTTGTTCATAGATAAGAAAGAGAACTTGAGGATAGTCCTAGAACAACAACAACAACAACAACAACAACAAAAGAGGTTTAAGACAAGGAATGAGCTGCTGTTGGCAGGAATAGTTACTTAAAATGTAGCTTAAATGAACACAGGCTTTCTATAGTTAGAATGCAAACTTTTATCTACCACCTTTAGGTGAAATATATCGTTATTATTGCTACTTGGAATCACTAAAGCCGAGTTAAAAATACCATATTTTCTGTGAGAAATGATGCTGCAAAGCTGCATTATAAATAAAAGACACATTGTGACAAATCCTCATTTAACACAAGCACGCTGTCCACAACACATGAGGTTCTGTCCTAGGTGCCCCAGGAAATGCTTGGTCCTTCTGAATATTGATTCTGATTTAAAAAAACTTATGTAGGCGTTTTTATAATTAAAACAGTTGGCAGAAATTATGAAAACTTGACTTGAAGGTTGTTACCATTTTTTTTTTTTTGAGACAGAGTCTTGCTCCGTCGTCGCCCAGGCTGGAGTGTAGTCACCCAATCTTGGCTCACTGCAACCTCCGCCTTGTGAGTTCAAGCGATTCTCCTGCCTCAGCCTCCTGAGTAGCTGAGATTACAGGCATTTGCCACCAGGCCTGGCTAATTGTTTTTGCATTTTCAGTAGAGATGGGGTTTTACTATGTTGGTCAGGCTGGTCTTGAACTCCTGACCTCAAATGATCCACCTGCCTTGGCCTCCCAAAATGCTGAGATTATAGGCATGAGCCACTACGCTCAGCCTCTGTTTTAATTCATTCATTCATTCATTCATTCACTCATGCATTTATTTATTTAGAGTCAGAGTCTCACTCTGTCACGCAGGCTGAAGTGCAGTGGTGGGACTGTGGCTCACTGCAGCCTTGAATTCCTGGCCTCAAGTGATCCTCCCACTTTAGCCTCTGAAAGCATTGGCATTACAGGTGTGAGCCACTGTGCCAGGCCCAATTACTATTTTAAAAGATAAATGTATCAGCTATGGCAAAGCCTTGTGGCAGACTTAGTTGTATATATAGACTTTTGAGATTTGATTGCTGTTGAAAGACAAAATTGAACACTAACGATAAGTTGGATGTAATTAGTTGCTGCCATTTGCTCAGAACATATTCTATAAATATGACTCATCAAACTTTTCTTTGCACCTATTTACATATACTTACCTAGTGTAACTGAAATGACAGATGAATGCTTGACTGCTTTTAGAGACAAATGTCAATTATAAGTTCACATGAAGGGTAATGGGGACATTACAGCATATACATATTATTTTGAGGCAACTTCATATATATTGGATTGACAATTTTGAAAATTGTCCAAAAATTTATCTGAACGATCCATGTGAGAAGTATAAATAAAGGGAAACACATTTATATTTGGATTGGAAAAACTATGTTTTAGGCCTTGGAGTGATGGGTATAGTAAGAGGTCCATAGGATTATGGTAAAAATTGATGCTTCTGATCTAACTCTGGAAATACACTGTCTTATGAAATGACACTCCAATATGCAAAACACTTACCTTCATTATTGACAATTATAGAAGCAGTTCCTGTAGCAGCATCTTTAGTCTGATATGTAAATTCTGAAAGAAAAAAGAAAATTACAATCACATGTATACAGGCTGGCATGGATAATTTATTTTAACAATTTCAATACAACACTAATCCTTGGAAAACCTTTTTAACCTTTAACCATCTGGAATGATAAAAAAAAATAAGTAATTAGTGCTAATTTATACCCATCATCTATACAACAAGAAAAATAGACAGCTTTACATGTAGTTGCACCTTTTCTCTGCATTAGTAACAACCCACCAAACTGCTCCTACTTTCGATTCCCCCCAATTATTCATAATTGTATACATATGCATTTTTCTAGACCAACACACTTATGTTCTTCATTGAAAGGAATGTCAGAGTTGAGATAAAAAGTAAAGGTCAAATCTATAAAATGAACTTGTTTGATTATTTTCATTCTCATAAGCTTGTTATTTCACCAAGAACCAAGGTCTGGCATATAAACAGAAATGTTGACCAGGCAGCCTTTGGTAGCAGCAAAGAGCCCTGAACTGGAATCAGAAGATCTTCATTCTAGTCCTGGCTCTAGCTCCAACCAACTGTGTGCTCTTGCAGAAATCACAGAACATCTCTGACCTTCGGTTTTCTCTTCTGTGAAATAATGGTTTCAGCCTGTATGGCTTCTAATGATTGTTGCCAGCTATAACATTCTTAAAACATCTTTTGTGAATGCAGCACCTTTTTCTCCTTGTCATTTGTCACATGTTCATGAGATGAAGGTTTGTAACCTCCTATCATTTTATTCCCATCTGGAGGAATGTACAGGGAAGAATCAACCCAAGGACATTTAAGCAAGAATGGACAAAGCTGTGCATAGAAATTCTCTGGCCACCAGGGGAAGGTCTAATAATCCTCCTCTAGATTCAATTTTTCTCATAACAAAATCACAGAAAAAAGCTATAAACACTAACTTTAAAAAAGGTGGGAATTTTACCTGTAGAAATATCATTCTGTTTTAAGTTTTCTATATAATCATTGCCAAAAGAATCTTTGCCAACCTGTACCAAAGAAATAATGAATATTAGATCTTTTAGAGTTAGTAAAATGCTACAATGTAGTTTTTAGAATACTTAGCATTTTAAAAGGGCATATCTGCACAGTACTTTATAAACATTAACTAATTAATCTTCTTAATATAAGATGCTAGACTTGATTGCAGCCCAAAGAATTGTTATATAATGTTTCACTTATATCCTACTTAAAATGTGAAGTATTTAATGAACATCACTCATTAAGTCATTCTCATTTTGAGCTGTTCATGTGATAATTCCCACTGAGATAGAGTTATCTACCATCATCAATCCTCAATATTTATGAAGAATCTCAGCTGTTTGTACTTCACTGTAAATATGGGTATCTTTGTCATGACTTGCCTGATGTTCCAGAATCTTTTTATCTTCTCCCTTGACACTGACACATAGAGGCAAAGAGAAGGAAATTTTAAAGGCCCTAGCTAACTTGGGTAACTTGGTATAATGGAATTGTGTTTTTGCATCCTAGCATCTATTCTGTTAAAGGTATTTCAGTTTTTCCTTTGGACACCTATTTCTGTCCCATTCTATAGACAACAAGATTAGGTTGGCCAAGGGACCCAGGCCTGATTAAAAAGCATGTTCCTTGTAGTCCCAGCTACTCGGGAGGCTGAAGCAGGAGAATTGCTTGAACCCGGAGGTGGAGGTTGCAGTGAGCCGAGGTCACACCACTGCACTATAGTCTGGGTGACAGAGTGAGACTGTCTCAAAAAAAAAAAAAAAAAAGTGTGTTCCACCATCCTAGTCACAGTGATGGGTTCATGAATGAGCATGTGACCTAAACTAGTCCAATAAGACTCAGTCCTGGGACTTTTACTGAAACTACCAGGGAAGACAAGTTTTCTTCCCAGTAAGATTGCTGGCTATAAGAGAATGTAAGCCTGCAGCCACTGGGGCTCACCATGTGGAGACAGCTAGAAAGAAAAGAGAGAAACATAACAGAAAGCAGGAGGGTGACAGACACAAACAGACACAGACTCCTAATAGCCTAATGGAACCCTAAGTCATCTGAAGCCAGCTCTACCACTGGGCTTTTCAGTTACATGAGGCAATACATTCTTTTTAAAAATTTTATTTTATTTTTTTTTGCTTAAGCTATTTTGAATTGGGTGTCTATTGTCTGTTATTAACAAAGTCCTGACTAGCTTCAGGCTGGGTGCGGTGGCTCATGCCTGTAATCCCAACACTTTGGGAGGTCAAGGCGGATGGATCACCTGAGGTCAGGAGTTCGAGGCCAGCCTGGTCAACATGGTAAAACCCCATCTCTACTGAAAATACAAAAATCAGCCGGGTGTGGTGGCGCACGCCTGTAGTCCCAGTTACTTGAGAGGCTGAGGTAGAACTGCTTAAACCCAGGAGGCGGAGGTTGCAGTAAGCTGAGATTGTGCCACTGCACTCCAGCCTGGGCGACAGAGCAAGACTCTGTCTCAAAAAAAAAAAAAAAAAAAAAAAAAAAGAAAAAGAAAAAAAGAAAAAAAAGAAAAGAAAAAGCTAGTTAGCCTAGTGCCTAGTGTAACCCTGAACCACTGAACTATAATTTAAGTAGCTTTGTCTGTGACTGGATCCTGTGACCACATTCTTGCTTTGTGGTCCACTTTGGTAACTGGATCTCCCCTGTTTTTGTCAGCATGAGTGTGTATCCTAATCATCTGGTTAGCCCTCTAGCTCTTTCAGAACAGGCACTCTTCTCTGCCTGGCCAGCCATTTGCAGGGGCCAGGCCTTTAGGTCTGTGGCTCAAAACCAGAAAACTATGATTGCAAGGCCTTTGATACTAATGCTGGCATCTTATCGACATCTCCCTACTGTCCGTTTCTGGCCTCCGTGGTGCTGCAATCACTGTGCTAGTCAGGACACCCTTGTTATCTTCTCCCATACCCCTCTAATGCTAACCATTTGTCTGACTGCTACCTTGGCTGGACCTTGGCTTGAACTCTACAGTTGAATCTACAGCAGAGGTTGTAAATTGGTGGGCTGAAAGTTCAATCTGACTGCTAGATATGTTTTGTTTGCCCTACTACTGTTTTCTAAAAACTAGACTTTATTTTAAAAACAGTTTTAGGTTCTCAGCCTAAGAGAGTAGAAAGTACAGAGTTCCCATATACTCTCTGTCTCCTCCGGCAACTAGTATCCCCCACTATTAACATCCTGCAACTAAGTGGTACTTTGTTACAACTGATAAACCTACATGACATATCATTATCACTCAAACTCCATAGTTTACATTAGGGTTCACCCTTGGTGTCGGATATTCTATAGGGTTTAACAAATGTAAAATGTCATATACCCACCATTATAGTACTATACACAATAGTTTCACTACCCTAAAAATCCTCTATGCTTTGTATATTCATCCTTCTCTCCCCACTAGCCTCTGGCAACCACTAATCTTTTGTCTCCATAGTTTTGCCTTTTCCAGAATATCATACAGTTGTAATTACACAGTATGCAGCCTTTTCAGATTGACTTCTTTTACTTAGTAATATGCAACTAAAGTTCCTCTGTGTCTTTTTATGCCTTGATAGCTAATTTCTTTTTAGGGCTGAATGATATTCCATTGTCTCGATGTACCAGAGTTTATTTATCCATTTATCTACTAAAGGATGTCTTCCAAGTTTGGGAAATTATGAATAAAGCTGCTATAAATATCTGTGTGCAGGTTTTGGTGTAAATGCCCTGCTATTTTTATCAGTTCTCAATACTTAAATATTAGAAGACTTCACAAAAACAGACAGATGTCCAGGGGGTTCTGAAAATTCAGAGGTTCTGGTAACACTGGGTCCACATTCCTGCAAGGCAAACCACCTGGAACTGAGAGGTGAGTGCCTTAAAGTGCTCATAGACTCTTGGCTTCACCTAGCCTACTGCAATTTCTGTTACCTGCTTGGCTCCTGTAGGCCTTTAGTCTTGCTACCTCTGAACTATACTTCTGAACTGAACTTCTATTTTTCTGTCCTGCAGGTGAGCATTACTTCAATGGACTATGTCTCAATCCAGGTTTCAGTCACTCCTGGTGTGTTCTATTCTTCCACAGAAAATTGTTCCTTTCTGGATATATCAATAGAAAGAAACCTGTCTGTTTCCTTACCATCATTTCTGAGAACTTAGAAGTCCTTTGCCCTCTCTCCTCCACTAAATCAAACCTCACCTGTTTTTCAAGTATCAGCTTAAGGTCTACCTTCCCTACTCTGGCCCTTGTTAATCCTCTCATCTCCACACCTCCTATGACATTCCTAATCAAGCCCATAGTTCAATACCATCTTATATTGTTGGCGATTTCATATTTGTTAGTCTAGTCTTCTTAAAAGCTTACTGGAGATTCTTTAGGATTTGATCACATTAGTTGTCCTTCTGTTCATTTTCCTTGGACCCATCTTGTAGTCATGTTCCATTCTTTTTTTTTTAAATTTTTTATTTTTTTATTTTTGAGACGGAGTTTCGCTCTTGTTGCCCAAGCTGGAGTGCAATGGTGCGATCTCCGCTCACTGCAACCTCTGCCTCTTGGGTTCAGGTGATTCTCCTGCCTCAGCCTCCCGAGTAGCTGGGATTACAGGTGTGCACCATCACACCTGGCTAATTTTTGTACTTTTAGTAGAAATGGGGTTTCACCATGTTAGCCAGGGTGGTCTCGAACTCCTGACCTCAGGTGATCTGCCCATCTCAGCCTCCCAAAGTGCTGGGATTACAGGCGTGAGCCACCACACCCGGCTGTCATGTTCCATTCTTGAAGGAACATGACTACAAGCACCCAAACTATTCTAGAATGGTTCCATACAAGGTTTTGTTTCCAACAGCCTCCTTGAAGGCACCCTCACACTCTTTTGACTACAGCAGTGAAATACTTTTGGGTAGAAAGATTCTTGGAAACCCGCATAGTCTGAGATAACCTGTCTGTGTTAACTTGTTCCACGTGAAGGAAGCCAGGTCAAGAGCAACTATGGACAAGCACCTGCACATAAGCCAAAAGGGAACTCTCAGAACTCAACATGCTCTTTGGAAATCCCAGGCTCAGTTCCGCCCTGAATATTGTAGAGTAGTGCCATCCAATAGAACTTTCTGCAATGATGAAATGTTCTATATCTGTGCTGTCCAATACAGAAAATGTTTTCTATTTGTTCTGCCCAATACAGACACTCGAAATACAGACTGTGTGACAGGAATTCAATTTTTTAACTTTGATTACATTTAAATCTAAATATCCACATGTGGCTAGTGGCTTCTGTATTTGACAATGCAGCAAGGGTCATGGAAAGCAAAAGGGCTGGGTGTATGAGGAACAAGAGCATTTCTTCAGCTAAGGGGACTGAGGTGCTTCCTTCACTCTTATCACTGGGAGGGATCTTTCTGCATTGAAGAAGAGCTTTGGGAGGGCTTCCAGAGTCCAGAACTATGACCTGAAGCTAAGGAGGGCAACTTCAGTCAGCATCATAACTTCTATTTTGCAAAATGACTGAGGAATGGTTGTTTAGGCTGCTTGGAATCCTCAAATGGCAGAAACCATCTAGTAATTCTACTCCTCAACATACATTTGGGGTAAATAAAACACAGGATATCAAAACATCCTACCCAAGGCCACATGAAATTGAATATTCTGCTCAAGAAGTTATCACATATATTAAAACAGGTTACCGATTTCAAAGCATTAGAATACAGAAAATATGTTTAACACTAAAACTAAGATGAATATAATTTAATCCTTGCAACTGAAGACATTTTGTCACTTTTCAGTGCCTGAGGGTTATAGTGAACAGCTGGTTGAGGAGACTAAGTTGCATTTGTTGTCATACAAAACCCAGCTGTTGCTTTTTTGAATAAATCCTTCATATTAACTTTTAACTTGTCATTTGTGGCCTTATAACAAAATACATAAGAAGAATATATAAAATCTCAGTTATTAAAGCTTGCTGGTTGTTTAAATCCTAGATAAAGGGGTGTTTACCTTAATAATGGCCTTTAGGCTAGGCATGGTGGCTTATGCCGTAATCCTAGCATTTTGGGAGGCTGAGGTGGTAAGACTGCTCGAGGACAGGAGTTCGAGACCAGCCTCAGCAACACAGCAAGACCCCATCTCTACAAAAAATTAAAAAATTAGCTGGGTGTGGTGCTGCATGCCTGTAGTCTCAGCTACTCTGGAGGCTGAGGTGGGAGGATTGCTTGAGCCCAGGAGTTTGAGGCTGCAGTGAGCTGTAGCACCGTAGTACTACAGCCCAGGCAACCTGTCTCTGAAAAAAAAAAAAAAAAAAAAAGGCCTTTGGGCTGGTGGTGCACACCTGTAATCCCAGCACTTTGGGAGGCCAAGGCAGGCAGATTGCTTGAGCTCAGGAGTTTGAGACCAGCCTGGGCAACATGGCAAAACCTTGTCTACAAAAAATACAAAAATTAGCTGGGTATGGTGGAATATGCCTGTAGTCACAGCTACTTGGGAGGCTGAGGCAGGAAGATCACCTGAGCCCGGGGAGGTTGAGGCTGCAGTGAGCCCAGATTGCACCACTGCACTCTAGCCTGGGCAACAGAGTGAGATCCTGTCTCAGAAAAAAATAAAGACCTTTAATATACAAAGTTAATGCTGCAATCACCATTATTAGGCCTGATTATCTGAGAGTGGTGATAGGTTTGAGATAATCCAGTTATTTTCTCTCATTTCTACCATTTCTTCCTATACAAGGTTTATATTATTTGCTTGGTTATAGGATCATTTGTTTGAACATATGGCTAAGCATTCCAATCAACATAGCCAACTAATTATATCTAGCTGTCTTTCAACAGAGTTCAGGAAAGGACAGATTTCACCTCATTATATATTACCTGGAAAGACCTGGTGACTAATTTTTGATCTCTGAAAATGAAAATCTCAATGCATGATCAGATGATTCTCCCACAGTAATCTAGCACAGAAGGTACTTTTTGGTTAAGGTGATGGATACTCTAATGCACTGCTTTTCAAGCTATCCGTGGAGAAGCACTGGCCTTGTTTTCCTTTTCTTGTTTTCAATCCATTGTGGACTAACAATTTTATAAAATACAATAACAAGGAGATGAAAACAAAAAAGAGTCATACAAACTACAAGGCCTAATTTATTATTACTATTATATTCAACGGTTGTAAAGTTATTCTGTCAAATTGCTATAAATGATCCTAACTGCTTACTCTCAATTCCTGTGCTGTTTGGACCGGTGACAATCTGCATGCAGCCTGGCACCAGCCTGAGGACTGGACTTTGAACAGCACCACCTTAATGTACCGAGTTAGGAGGCCAGCAGGTCTTATTTTCCAGTTGGACCCTGCTGGTGGAAGCAGGATCTGGTCAAAACATGGTGCAATGAAGACGCTGGCTGAAAAGAGGAAAGTGACCTCTAGTTGCTCTCACTGCTCATTAGCACAAGACACTCCTACTGGACCCAAGATAGTTTACAAATGCCATGGCAATGGCCCAGAAGTTACCTTTTATAGTTCTGGAAATTCCCCACCCTTTTTCCAAAAAGTTCTGAATAACCTGCCTCTTAATTAGCATATAATTTAAAGTACATGTAAATATAGTTGCTAACAGCCCATACACTACCCTCTGGGCACATAGCCTATCAGTTAGCCCTGCAGCACTGGTTCAATCAAAGTTGCTTTTTCTTTTTTTTTTTTTTTAATATTTAACAGCTTTACTGAGATATAATTATAATAAAAACCCTGCATATATTTAATGTATACATTTTGATGGGTTTGAATACATGCATACATCTGTGGAACCATTACCACAATCAGTGTAATAAACATCCATCACCTCCAAGTTTCCTCCTGCCCATTTGGCAAGATAAAATAAGATCCAGAGATCTGCTGTACCACATCGTGCCTATAGTTCATAATACTTTATTGTATGCTTAAAATGCTCTTAAGAAGGTAGATCTCAAGTTAAGTGTTCTTACTACCCCCCGCCCCCCCACCACACAAAGTTGCTTTTTCTTATCCTTGGCTCACTCTTAAATTCTTGCCTGGGCAAAGCCAAGAACCCTCCTTGGCTAAGCCCCTCAGGGCAGCCTGCATCAGTATCACCTCTGTCACAAAACTTCATGCTTGATGGTTCTGAAGGGAAAACAGATAGCTACCTGTATTAGAGAGTTTGATAGTCTCATATATGAAGGATAGTCTCATATTTGAAGGATAGTTTGATAGTCTCACATTTGAAGGAAGCAAGACAGGGTAATTTCTTGAAGGTGTTTCCAGTTTGCTGATTCCTGACCTGGGTCATTTGGGTTCATACCTGCTCATGGTTTCTGTGCTCATACTGGGCCAGTGCATCTTGAGTTCCTTACTTGACCATGGTCCTCTCCTGAACTGCCAACTTTTGATGTTTAGGAATAACTTCCTCTTCTTAACATTTGGCTTCAATGGAATGGAGCAGGAAACACTTAACTCAGGTGAAGATTTAAGAAAGATGTCCTAATAGGCTCTTTGCCCTGGGAGGAAGACTTTCATTTTATACAATATCTGCCAGGATTTTAAATCTGAAAATACCATCTCCAGTTATCACTAGACTGTAGCTTTGGTCCATGACTCAGCTAAATACTGACTAACTCTTAAGTACTTGAAGTGTTTCATTATACATGTATCACTGTATAAATAATGAGGTAACTCATTTAATATTCTTTGTCACAATATCTTAACAAATATTTCTCCCTAGCTCAATATAAGTTTGTTTGGGCCATCAATCTTACTTCATAAGAGTTTGAATTTTAGTTTGTTATAGGTAGCAAGAGGTAAATAAATCTTGCTGAGAAAGCCATAGAAAATTTTTACCTGTTTTTCTTTTGCTCCTTCTGTTCATTTTTATCTTGATAAATTTCATGGTTTTGGTTTCTACTTAGAACTTGTCATCTTTAAAAAACTGCTATAAAGCAAGTTTGGCTAATTTGCTTAATAAAAATGTATCTCACAATGGATAAAATATGATTAATGGACAGATAATAACTTCTTTTACAAAAATATATGATTTTCTTTTTAAGAAGTCTGAGAATATTATGCAATTTGCTTAAGCTTTTAAATAATTCCATGTCTAAAGGTTCCAAGTTATCTAACCAAAGTTACCCTGGATAGGTTTTAGCTGCAGTCATGTTTTTTGATCCTCTGCTAGGCAGACACACAGGCTAAAATCCACTGTGGTGCTAAGCATTAGGTGACTAAATCAGGGGCATGGTAGATGTATAGAACTTTCAAAATTGTACAGATGCTAACATAAACCATCACACACAAATGGTACCTTTGCTTTAATCAACCTCCTAACTGGAACATTTCCCAAAATACAGCCCCCTGCTTCTATTCCTCTCCTATCCACTCATATGGTTTTAGGATTCATTTCCCACGTTCAGTTCCATAACTCAAATATTTCTCTTTGTCATTTCTTTCTTTGCCTCAAATTCAACAGACCTAAAATAAAATCAATTTCATAATCTTAGGGTTGGAAGAGATCCCAGGGGACATCCAATCTTGACTTTAATGGCTACATAAATAGCTTCCATAAAACATCCAAGAGAGGGGTTCTCTAATCTCTCCTTTAATGTCTCCAGCTCTAGGAACTCCCCTCTTCCCAGCGAAGCCATTTTGGGTGCATAGCTTCCAACGCCAATTCTATGTCCAAGTTTTCCTACACAGGAAATTATATCATCCTCTTTCCAGTTCCCAGGTCCTCTTAATTAAGTCAGCACCATCTGATTACTCTCCAAACGCTCCATAGCTAATCAGGTATGAGATGGGTCAGGCCTAAGTTTTTAATCAGCCACCTCTCACAGACCCATAATTCCTGGAACATAATTAATTGCTGATTAATTACACTGATATTTTAAATCTATCAAGAGCTCAATCTTAGCAAAAGAGGGTTTCTTGCTTTGAATCTGATGCTTCACGTGATGTTTTTGACCAAATAGCCATGTGAAAATTATGTTAATCATAGGTTAGAAATAAAATTACAGTTTACTAGCAGATGGAGTGATAATTGTATAGTTTATACATCATTTAAAACTCCTGTGGAGAGAAAAGTGCTGACTGCAATGAAAAATGACATTTCGAGAATTTTTGGTAAAATCTACATAGTTCACAGGAGAAAGCTCATTCTTTTAAGTTCCTTGTATTTTTCTTGCCCTTTAATAATGTGCAGACACAGGCTGGCTTTCCCTAAAAATCAAAGAAACACAATCATCTACCTTTCCTGTTATACTAATGCTATAATGCTAGCGCCTTAAAATTTCATGAAAAATGAAAAGTGAAAACTTTTGGCAGCCCATTTATTTTCAAATTATTTCGGTAGCATGGATAAAAATAGGAATACTGTATGTTACAATATCATATCTCTACATACATGAAAACAAAACTATGCCAAAAGCTCAGTTATATGTAGCTCATTAAGGCCCAGATTCTTTTCAGATCTAAGATACAGCATTAGAAGAAAATGACTTAGAGATGAGTAAATCACCGGTTATTACAAGAAGTTTCCAAAAGCTGTGTTGCTGCGGTGAAACCTGCTAAAAACAAGGTGACTCATGCTGTTGTTTAGAAGCTGGATGACAGAAACCCATTGGAGTACGCTAATTTCCCTCACTTCTCACACCCCAGTTACAAACTCATTACATTCAGGGAATGCAGCATTAAGTTATTTGAGAACTGCTACTTCCCAGAGGATTCAATGAGGTAGAAATTAGTATAAAGGACAAGGGAGACTATTCTCTGTTATTTAGATCTTTAAAAACAATAAACTTCCACAAGAATTGAAAGCAGGTACTCAAGTAGATGTATATGCATGTTAGTAGCACTGCTATTCATAACAGCCAAAAGGTGGAAACAGCCCAAGTGTCCATCAATCCATTCATTGATGAATAAAAAAATTGTGGTATATCCATACAATGGAATATTATTCAACCACAAAAAGGAAGGAAATACTGATATATGCTACAATGTTGTACCTCAAAAACAGTATGCTAAGTGAAAGAAGCCAGGTACAAAATGTCACATAATATATATTCCATTTATATGAAATGTCCCGAATAGATAAATCCATAGAGATAGAATGAAGACTGGTGGTTCCCAGGGCTTTAAAGGGAAGACAGAATGAGGAGGAACTGCTTAAGGGGTAAGGGATTTTGTTTTGGAATGATGGTAAAGTTCTGGAACAAGACAGAAGTGGTGGTTGAATGTATTAAATGCCACTCTATGTATTACATGCCACTGAACTGTTCACTCTAAAATGGTTGAAAAAATTAAAAACAATGAACTCCAGTCTTAAAACCAGATTCTTACCTCTAGAGTCCTCTCCACTATACTTTGTACTTACCTTACACACCATGGACGTCATTGCTCCAAGCCGAGCAGCTTGGACACACTGGTTGGCACCTTTCCCTCCAAAGCCAATAAAAAACTTATGTCCATGGATGGTTTCTCCAGTTTTTGGCAAACGAGAAGTAAGACTATTGTAATTTAAAAAGAGAAGAAAAAAGCATATTGGTAACTGTAATCAATTTAAGTTCTTTAGAAGAGAGGGAAGGCTATATGGTAGAGCTCTAAATAGTCTTAACAATTAGAACTATAAGCAGAAGCAACGAAGATTATCTCTTCCTTTAGGATGACATTTAGTAGTTTGCATCATTATCAAGAATGAGTCTCCTTGACAGAATTCCTCTCTCTCTCCTAGAGACCACTACTGTGGCTAGTGTTGTACTGCATCAGGGTTATTCATGAATACTTTTCCTTCATATTCTCTTTCTTAATGCCAGCACAGAACTTTATTCACAGTGGGATTTAATAAATGGGATGAAATTAATGTATATTTCTATATGGGTTTATCTGGTCACTTTAACAAGAAGCAGGAAGTGTTAAACCAAGAAGCAGGAAGTGTTAAACCAGACCAGGATTCTGATAATCAAGTACAGGACCTAAGGAGAAGAGGGAAGTTACAATTCCAGGTGCTAAAGAATCTTTTTTGTTTACTAAGGGGTAGAGTAAGAGTGGGGTGTTCAGAGAGCAGGATCAGGTTTTAGTCTTAGTCCATCCTGCATACCACATCATTTCACGTGCTCACTCAAAAAGGGTGTCTATTTTAAAAAAGGAACACTAAAGAGCTAAGTTATTTTTAAATTTTTATTATGGAAGATTACAAACCTATAAAAGTAGAGAAAACAGCATACTGGCTTCCCTTTCCCTCATTCACCTATCATCCAGATTTAATAATTTAATACTTATTGTTTCATAGCCAATCTTGTTTGAGTCAATACCTTCATCAGCTTCTCTAAGAGGTAAGAATTTTTACCATAATGCTATTATTGCCTAATGATGATAGTATTAAGTGAGGCAAAAAGAATAAAAGGTTTGATCCAGGGTAAGATTTTTATATTTCATATTATTAAAGATGGAAGGTGTGAGGAAATAAAATATTTGAAGGATGGAAGGAAATGATTGACTTTAAAATGAAAGAGGCATTCTGGGGAGTTCTAGGGCAAGTGAAGAAGATGGGCTCAGGTGGCACGAACACTGGCTAGCTGGCCACAGAGAAGTGGGCCAAGGGCCAGAGGGAGCAGATAAAAAGAGGGTAGGTGTGACCAAAAAAGGTTAACTAGCTTTAGATAGGAAAGAAAGGTAAAGAGGTAAGTTCACAATGGTAAGGCCACTGAGAACCTACACTGCTTTTACAGGTTAGAAATTTATATTAATTTTCCACATAGGTTGTGATCTATCTGAAGTCAGTATCTTATATTAGAACAGAGCAATGACAAGTCCTAACAGCCAGTTTGCAACGGGATGACATATAACTGATGCTAAGAACACACGATTGCTTCAATAAAGACCAAGCTCAACCTGTTAACCTCCTTTATATAGCTCTAAAAGTGTCAATAAATTGAGCTGAACTACTCCATTCCCTTGCAGTACACTGTCAAATATGGTTGAGATTCAAAAGAGCCTCATC
Organism: Homo sapiens; assembly: GCF_000001405.40. Lineage (NCBI taxonomy): Eukaryota > Metazoa > Chordata > Mammalia > Primates > Hominidae > Homo > Homo sapiens. The sequence continues at coordinate 27,860,065 of NC_000002.12, forward strand.
AATAATTTGAAAACATCCCACTCCTCCCCTTTAAATTCTATTTTTATCTTGGATTCTAAATGCATTTATAGTACTGATGAAAAAAAATATACATCTAGAAGGTTCACTTCTGAAAAAGGTACTCAATCAAGAGAAAAATGGTTTTAATGTAATGTTATTATCCTGTCATTTAATTTAGCAATGACAAGTGATGATGAGATTTTGATTTGCATTAGAAATCTTAAACATCTTAGGATTCTGTTATGAACAGGCAATGATGAGTAATCTGTGTGATTGAGTAACTATGTGAATTCTTGGCTTACTGATGCTGCTACAAACAACACTCAGAGCAACCTGAAAAAGAAAAAATATACCATGTGGCTAAAAACAGGCCAAATAACTTGATTAGTAAGACTGTCACTAAAGAAACTTATGATTTCCACTACATCTATACTTAGATCTGGGTTACAATTCACTGGTTTGAATCAAGTGTAATTTTTATTACTAACTGTGAGAATTCATTTAAAAATCACCAGATTATTACTGGGATGTATATATATATGTGGGGGAAGGGCAAAATCATGGGTACAGTAGGTGTGTTTGATGTGGGAGCAGATGGCTGGGATTTAAACTCATTTCTAAACAACTTCTATTAACACAAGCATTGTATTAATTCAGTGATCACTGAAATTCTTCACTCTTTTGGTATTTTACTAATTTCTCCTCTTTTTCTTCTGCATCCTTCCCCTACTCTTGTCTCTTTCTTCCCTTAACTGTAGACTTTCCCTGCATGAGGACAGGGACCAAGTCTGTCATGTTCTCCATTTTATGCAATGTGTCTGTCACTTGACACGAGGTTAACAGATATTTGCTGATTGAACAGATTTTTGTAAGAGTCTCCCTTTGTCTCTGTCTCTGTCTCTCTTTCTCTCTTTTTTTTTTTAAACAGAGTCTCTCTCTGTCACCAAGGCTGGAGTACAGTGGCACGATCTCGGCTCACTGCAACCTCCACCTCCTTGATTCAAGTGATTCTCCTGCCTCAGCCTCCCAAGTAGCTGGGATTACAGGGGTGCGCCACCAGGCAAGGCTAATTTTTGTATTTTTGGTAGAGAGGGGGTTTCATCATGTTGGCCAGGCTGGTCTCGAACTTTTGGCCTTAAGTGATCCGCCTGCCTTAGCCTCCCAAAGTGCTGGGGTTACAGGCATGAGCCACCGCGCCCAGCCTCCCTTTGTCTCTTTTCTGTGTCTCCCCCGTATAGCATCTATTCCTGTTCTGAAATGAGGATGTGGAGGTGTTGATTAGGGAAGCAGGGGGAGACTGGCAGGGATGACTGGGCAACTGTCCGACAATAACAACTCCATATTTTACCAGATCTTGCCCACTGCACTCCCAGTATCAGCAGCATTCCTCTTCCACAAGCAAGAACTGTAACTAGAAGTCATATATTCCTTCATTCATGCACTAATTCAACAAATGTTCATCACTGTGTCCTGATGTATCTCCTACAAGGCAAAATCAACTTGTTGACAATGGCATTAAACCTAACCCTGATGCAAGTAATACACGAGTGAAGAAAATAATTCACGGAATAAGGAGATTAGTATGTTCCATTTCTTTTTGGGGGGGGGGTGGAGTCTCACTTTGTCTCCCAGGCTGGAATGCAGTGGTGTTATCTCGGCTCACTGTTACCTCTGCCTCCTGGGTTCAAATGATTCCCCTGCCTCAGCCTCCCGAGTAGCTGAAATTACAGGCATGCACCACCATGCCCAGCTAATTTTTTTTGTATTTTTAGTAGAGATAGGGTTTCATTTTATTGTCCAAGCTGGTCTTGAACTCCTGATCCCCCTGCTTCAGCCTCCCAAAGAGCTGGGATTACAGGTGTGATCCATGGCGCCTGGCCTGATTTTTTTTTTTTTTTTTTTTTTGAGACAGAGTCTGCTCAGTTGCTGAGGCTGGAGTGGAACACAAAAATGGCTCACTGGAGCCTCAACTTCCTGGGCTCAGATGATCCTCCCACCTTAGCCTCCCAGAGAGCTGGGACCACAGGTGCACACCACCACTCCTGGTTAATTTTTTGTATTTTTTTATAGAGACGGGGTTTTGCCATGTTGCTCAGGCTGGTCTCAAACTTTTGGACTCAGGCGATCCTCCTGCCTCGGCCTCCCAAAGTGTAGGGATTGCATGCGTGAGCCACCGTGCCTGGCTGATTTATGTTATTTAAAAGGAAAAAGATATAGGTATATGTTCTCCCATGATATGTACATGCATAAAAAGTGAAAAGTTAAATGACAGGTATTCACAAAGAAAGGTGGGGACTAAAAGTTTGTGTGTTATTTTATATTCTTATGCACATAAATACATACGACAAGAATATTTTAGTGTATTATACGATACCACTTGTCACTACATCAGATTCACGTGGCCTCTGCCTCATTTACTAGCCACCAGTTCTTGGTGGGCACCAGCTGGCTTCTCGCAGGTGTCACCTAACAGAGCCTTACTGAATGCTGCTCTCATTCCACCCCTGGGCTTCTGTCTCTTCAGACTGTCCTGAAGGACTGAGCAGCCAGTGGTCAACTTGCAAATGTCAAATACCTTTGTATACGCTCTTCCTTCTTCCCTGTCCCCTGCTCTTGACTCGGGGGTTATAGTGCTAACTGACTATGTGCACTTAAGCCTCTGTCTTAGGCTCTGGTTTCTGTTAAACCCAGACTAAGACAGTTTATGGCGGATTTAATTTTTTATAAAGTAAATAAACTGAAGAGTGGAGAGAGCAACTAGGAAGTTAGTTACAAACAGGCAGAAGCATTTCTGAATTATAAATCCTAATTTAATTTGAATGAGACTTTCCTATCTTTCTTCCTTATTGAAATCATGAAATTATGTTCAGGTTCAAGAAAGCATCTGCACAAAGCACCGTCTCCTGGGATGAAAGCATTACTATGATTTGTTCTAATTAAAAAAAAAAAGAGGTTTAACAGAGTGTCAAAGACAGAAAAATTAAATTGCTCAAATTAAAAAGAAAAGGAAACAGTATTAGTAGAAATACATTGTTACTACCATTTAAAGGTAAAAATAGTGTAAATTTCTGAATGAGGGAGAAAACCTGAACAGAGAAAACCATGCCTAAGAAATATATTTGAATTTAAAACAAATTCATAGCTTTTAAAATGCCACAATGTCTTCAGGTTGGACTGAAAGGAACAGTGATAAATGTTCATACATGGCCCCAGTCTTCCCTGCCATGAGAGGCCACGTGGTTAGAGCCTGGGTGTGCCAGGCAGGAGGCCTGAGCCACTTACTGATTGTATTACTTTTGACAGCTTTTCCCTCTTTGAACCAGCTTCTTCTCTTGCAAAACAGGTTTAATAATACTTGTCAACTCCTTAAATGCCTGGGTTTTGTGCTCTGAGTTAATTCACTGACAGGTGTTACCAGAACAACTTATCAATTGCTTTTAACTTCTTGACAATGATGTGGTTTTTACAGATTCTCAGAGATTATTCGAACCAAAGGAAGGAATGACCCGGTAATAGGGGGATGAAAAGTCTTTCAACCAAAGAGGTCATGCTAATATTGGCTTCAGCCAAAAGTCACCAAATGTGTTGCTTTTTGGCTTTTGCACTGATCTTTTCTCCTTTTGGCTGCAAGCTTCTGACAACAGAAGCCTCTATAACAGGAGATTGTACTATTAATTATTACCCAATTAAAATTCATTACACTAATTTATTATTCTTACTGCCTGTATTCTTCAACCATATTTATTCTTCTCAGCATTTGTATATGCCACATTTAAAAGGCTGAGAGTAATTTCAAAATCAAGTGAGTGACATCTATTTCTACCTCTGTAAAAAAATCTCCCAACTAAAAATTCATTCTATGTTCCCTAACCCTTCATTTGCAGACGTATATGTTATTTATTTAAGGTAATGAAACATAAATTATGCTTTATGCAGTTTTTAACTGATTTTGATTACTAACCCATATCTTTTTTTTTTAAGAGACAGGGTCTTGCTCTGTTGCCCAGGCTGGAGTGCAGTGGTACAACCACAGCTCACTGTAACCTCGAACTCCTGGGCTCAAGCAATCCTCCTGCCTTGGCCTTCTGATTAGCTAGGACTACGGGGGCACACAACCATGCCCAACTAATTTTTTTTTTGTAGAAATGGGGTCTCGCTATGTTGCCCAGGCTACTCTTGAACTCCTGGCCTCAAGCAATCCTCCCACCTTGGCCTCCCAAAGCACTGATATTACAGGCGTGAAACTCATATCTTTTCCTAGCTAAAATGTCTGCGACTAAAATGTCATTTTGTCTGAAGATGCAGCTACTCTGGAATTTGTAGAGTGGACAAACAACACTCTAGCCAGAAGTGACCAGCCTTTCACAATGTCATATCCTTGAGCCCTATTTATTTAAAACTTACTTATGTGTGAAAAAGTGTACCAGGCAATGAGAGAGACAATAAAGATTAGTACATATGGTCTTCTCCCATGTTACAGTCTTACAGGGCTGACTTCATTCACATCTCTGCTCAAATGTTACCTCTTTAGAGAGGACTTCCCAGACCACCTTATAGGAGACACTCCCTTCTTAATATAATTTTTAAGTATTGACTCATTCATTCTGAGAAAAAAAAAAACCAGGTTTTTGAATCAGAGACAGCATTTAAATACTTATACTTTAGTTCTCCAGTCCCCCACAAGGTTACATGATAAGAATAACTCCCTAATAGTAAATTTTGGAGCCTATATAGGACATTTCACACACAGCTGCTGCTCCTTCTCCCCTCTGGGGTGGGGGAAGAAGCAGCATGCATCACCTGCACATGACCTACTGACCTTTGCTTTGTAAACAAATCCTCTCAGGGAGAGAAGGGGAGGGTCTCTAGGTTTACAACCTTCAGAAGGAAAACAAATTATCTTGGGGAGAAGTCTCTGAATCTCTCCACAGGTCTTTAACTTCCAAGGCTTGTTTGCCATTCAAACATTCTTTAGGCCGGGCGCGACGGCTCACGCCTGTAATCCCAGCACTTTGGGAGGCTGAGGTGGGCAGATCACGAGGTCAGGAGATCAAGACCATCCTGGCTAACACGGTGAAACCTCATCTCTACTAAAAATACAAAAAATTAGCCAGGCGTGGTGGCAGGCACCTGTAGTCCCAGTTACTCGGGAGGCTGAGGCAGGAGAATGGCGTGAACCCAGGAGGCGGAGGTTGCAGTGAGCCGAGATCGCGCCACTGAACTGCAGCCTGGGCGACAGAGCGAGACTCCTTCTCAAACAAACAAACAAACAAACAAACAAAATTCTTTAATCCGGTGCCAGAAATCTTTGCTCAGAAAGTCCTGATCATGCAGAAACATGAAAACATTCATGAAGCATTGCTTCCCAACAATTTTCTTCATAGCAATATCACTACATGACATTACAATACTCATTTCCTTCTTTTCCTGCTTTCTTTTGGATTAACTGTATTCCATTTTACGTTCCCTGTTTGTGTGTTATATTCTACCTTCCCTTCTCCTCCTCCTTTTTTTTTTTTTTTTTTTTTTGGTAGAGACAAATCTCAGTAAGTTGCCCAGGGCTGGTCTTGAACTCCTGGCCTAAAGTGAGCCTCCTACCTTGGCCTCTCAAAGTGTTGGGATTACAGGCATAAGTCACCATGCCTGGCTGATTTTTTCCCCTAGTATTTTAAAAGTGGTTGATCTAGGGTTTACAATATGCATCTTAAACTGATCACACTTTATTTTCAAACAGTACCATACCACTTTACTTAAAAATGTAATCTACTTTACATATTCTTCCATTTCCCCTTCCTAACCTTTGTGCTATTGTCATACATTTTACTTCCACATGATGTAAACGTCACAATACTGTTATTACTTTATTAATTTTAAATGTCAATTGCCTTTTAAAGAAATTGAGAAGTGAAGAAAAAGTCTTTGTATTTACCCATATATTTACCATTTCTGGGGGTCTTCATTCCTTTGGGTGGATCTGGGTTTCCATCTGGAATCATTTTGGTTCCACCTAAAGGAACTTCCTTTAACATTTATTATAGTGTGAGTTTTCTGGTGATAAATTCTTTTATTTTCCTAAAAAGTCTTTAGGAAGTCTTTATCTTTCCCCTTTATATTGGAAAGATATAGAATTCCATGTTGACAGTTTAGTTTTCAAGCACTTTAAAGATTTTATTTTCTTCTGACTTGCATCTTGTTTCTGACAGGAAGTCTGCAATCAATCTTTGTTCCTCTATATGTAATGTGTACCTTTTTTTTCTTAACCTCTGGATGCTTTTAAGAGTCTCTGTTTATAACTGATTTGCAGGAATTTGATCACAATGTGCTCTGATGTAGTTTATATCATGCTCATCCTGCTGGATGTTCATTGTTTGCATAGTTTGCATCAAGTTTAAAAAATTTCAGCCATTATTTTTTCAAACGCTTTTAGTGCCTCTCTGCTTCTCTCTCCTTTTATTCTTAGACTCCAGTGACATATATGGTAGGCTGTTCCACAGGTCACAGACACTGTGCATTTTTTTTCTCTGTGCTTCAGTTTAGATAATCTCTTTTACTAGTTTTTCAAGTTCACTTATCCTTTCTTCTGTCATGTTCACTCTGCTATTAGGCTCATCCAGTGGATTTTTTATTTCAGATATTGCATTTTTCATTTTTTAGACCTGGAATTTGGTTCATCTATAGATCTTCCATTTTTCTTCTGTTCATCTTTTTCTTTAAATCACTGAGCATATTTGTAACAGGTCTTTTAAAATCCCTTTCTGGCTGGGCATGGTTGCTCATGCCTGTAATCCCAACATTTTAAAAGGCTGAGGTGGGAGGATTGTTTGAGCTCAAGAGTTTGAGACCAGCCTGGGCAACATAGTGAGACCTTGTCTCTACAAATAATTTAAAAATTAGCTGGGTATGGTGGCGTGCACCTGTGGTCGCAGCTACTTGGGAGGCTGGGGCAGGAGGATTGCTTGTGCCTAGGAGGTTGAGGCTGCAGTGAGCTCTGATTGCACCACTGCACTCCAGCCTGAGTGACAGAGTAAGACCCTGTCTCAAAAAAAAAAAAAATGCCTTTTTGCTAATTCCACCATCCCTGTTTTTCTGTGTTTATTTTGACTGAGTGGTTTTCTCCCCACTCTTGGTTATAGATCACATTTTCCTGATTCTTTGCATGTCTAGTGATCTCTGGATGCTCACTAGTTACTCCAACATGGGCAGAAGTAAATATTTTTGAATGAACGGTCTACAGCTTAAAAGAAATTATATTATAGAAAGTTGAGAAGACAGATGCCTAGGTACATAATAAATAATACAATGGGGTGAGAACAGGGCAAAAGTGCTATGTATGACAGAGGCCCAAGGGAAAAAGTAAGCCAGTTATGAAATTTCCGAATTGAAAATGAAGTTATGTGACGGGAGTCTTTATAAACTTAGTTGGGAATATGGTCAGAAAAATGGGGACGAAAAGGGGCACATCCTTTTTATTCTTCCAGTATGGCATGGAGGGCTGAGTATACAAGGTGTCAGGAGAGGCTTATCACTCAAAATATTAAACATACACATAAAAATTAAAATACTACCTAAGCTCAGCAAATCTTTTTGGATAATTATATATATATACTTCCTTCCAGCTGAGCTCAGTCCTAGAGGAAGAAAAAAGGTTGGATAGGGAGGTGGGGAATGAGCTAATTTTGGAATTAGAGATTGCAAGAGGCAAGGGCAGGCAAAATGTATATGTATGTATAGGGGATTAGGAAGTGGGGATTGGACAACTATTTTGGATGGCAAAGGTATGTGTACAAGAACTGGAAAGTGGGAAAATCAGAATGCTGAAAAACAGAGCAGAAAGGGTTTGGTGGAACAAAGTCATTTGTCAAAAGTTCCTGATGAACTGCTTTTAAATTCACTGAAGACAAGAAAAGTATGCATTTGTAAAATAATAAAAATGACAGTGACAAATAACTACAAAACCAATATTTTATTTTCTATTTTGCCAATTAATTATAGTAAATTTTAAATTCCAGAATGACTTCTGTCACTACATTATAATTATCTGGGTTACATCTTTTTGCCATCTGCTGGTGTAGTTTAAAGAAATAAAAACAGATTTTAATTTTATCCTAAGCAAAATATAATTAGAAGGATAAATCAGCATAAGACAAAATAATGTAATCTGGAATCAATTATTAAATTTTAATTTATCTACTATTTTTGGTGATCATATATAATCAAGAACTCATTATGTTATTTTGAGCTTAACAATATATTTGTAAGATGATCTAGGGTAGGCATTATCATCATCTGTTTTAGGGAAAAAGTGAGAGTTCAAAAGGTATTGGCTTATCAAAAAAACACATAGCTGTTAGGGGTTGAGCTAATTTTTAATTCAGCTCTTCTGACTCCATTGCTATAGTTTTTAACCACAATATGCTACTTTCTTTGACAATTGGTATTCTTTCAATTTTGACTATAATGTTGGATATTCAATACATAAAACACACAAATATTTACTTAACAGTCATTTATATAAGAGCATAAGAAACAATAATTCTATACTAAAAACAACCTATATTTCATCCCTTTCCACCACTTCTTGTTTTGAGTGTGTCACTAGGTGATGTTACACAGGAAAGAATGGTGGCTTTCCTCGTGGTCTCTTGACACTGTTCATTCTTAAAATCTTACTTGTATTTCAAATATCTTTGCATAGCCTATTCTTTATGCCTGAAAGTTCTTTCCTTTGCTTCTCAGCTGAGCTAATCCATTCAAATCCTTTAAAATTCAACTCAGACAATCATCTCCTTTGGGAGTCCTAATATAGTAAGTCCAATTGAAATAACTAATACATTAATAATGGCAGATATTTCTAGAGGACTTATTATATGATAAATACTGCACTAAACACTTTATAACTATCAATTCACTTAATCATTACAATAACCCCATGAGAAAGTTATTATTATTTTGATCCTATTTCACAGATAAGGAGAATGAAAATCAGAGAGATTACAAAACATATCCATGTTCACCCAGTAGAAGATGGCAGGGCCAGGATTCAAAGCAAGGTTGATCTGACTCCAAAACTTACAAAATATTATCCAGAAATGTACCTAAAGCTCCTTGGACCTATTTATATTTTAGGATTTTATAATTTATTGTGTAATTTTTATTTAATAGTAATTATACTTCTGAAGAACACTGGTGTTCTTCAAGCTGAACCAAGATGCTGAGACAGCAAGGCCAAATAATGGTGCTCCTTTCCTACTTAATTCAGAAGGCATTAAGTGAATGGACACTATGTTATCAAATTTAACTTTTCTTCTTAAACCCGAGTGCAGTATTCTTTATGTAACCTATAGTCTAGCAGAAGAGAGCATACAATTTCATGGGAAGTATGAATATAGTTAACTTAAGCTTAATGTTCTGTGGTATTCCACAAAAAGTGTGACTTACCTGTGCTCTACAGCAGTGGTCCCCAGCCTTTTTGGCACCAGGGACTGGTTTTGTGGAAGACAATTTTTCCAGGGACCAGGGGGAGGAAATGGTTTTGGGATGATCCAAGCACATTCCATTTATTGTGCACTTTATTTCTATTATTATTACAGTGTAATATATAATGGAATAATTATACAACTCATCATAATGTTGAATCAGTAGGAGCCCTGAGCTTGTTTTCCTGCAACTAGACGGTCCTATCTGGGGGTGACGGGAGACAGTGATACCTGAAGTGTGTTGTTTATGTCCAGTCTACTCCATAATCTCGTTTTGGTTGCTGTTACTGCAGAAAACTCTGCTTCACAAAGATAGGGTGTTGGAAATGGAAGCAAGCTTTTCAGTGCTTTTGGGGCAGTCTCTGGATATTATGCCTTGACTTCAATCCGGACTGTGTGAAGATTTGAAGCTGTTTCAACATACTTTTAAGGCCACCGTCATTTGCGATCTCAAGCAGTTGGTCCTTTTCCAGCACGGACAAAGTCGATTCACCTTGGCTTATCCACAAATGGGTTGCAGATCCATTCCTTCCCAGTCTGGGGGGTCTTTTGTGGTTGGGAAGTAATGCTCAAACTCCTTTAAAAGCTGAGATAGGTGATCATGCACCAGCTGGGGGAAAGAAGGCCCTGGTTCAGTCTCTTTCAAAATATCTGCTAATGTTTGAAACATGTCAGAAATCCCCATGTTCACTTGTCACCCCCATAATTCCAGTTTGGCTTTGAATGCAGCCCCTTTATCTGACAATTTGAACACAGTTGTCATTCTCCCCTGAAGTGACAGATCGAGTTCGTTGAGCAGGTTGAATATGTCACACAAGGAAGCCAGGTTTGCAACCCATTCTGTGTCACTGAAATGTGCTGCCAGTGGTGACTGTTTTTCTAAAAGAAATCTCCGGAGTGGCTCTTGTAACTCAAAAACTCTGATCAGTGATCTACCTTTAGAAAGCCATCTCACTTGTGTGTGTGAGAGAAGACATGTGTGCACTGCACCCACCTCCTCACAGAGCTGTGCGAAGAGACGTGAGTTAAGGGCATGTACTTTAACGTGGTTGATAATTTTAATCACATCCTGCAAAATGCTGTTAAGTTCAGGTGACATTTTTTGGCTAGCCAGCATTTCTCTATGGATGACATGGTGTGTAGACTCACATTCAGAAGCAACCTCTTTGATGTGAGTAGTGAAACCAGAAGCTGTCCAGCCATGGCAGCCACTCTGTCCATGCATATACTCACACAAAATGACCAGTTCAGTTTTCCTGACATGTAATCACGCAAAGACTTGAACAGTTCTGCAGCTGTGGTGTGGGCTGGCAACAAAAGTGCACATAACATATCCTCATGCACATCCTCCTGAAAAATACATTACACAAAACAAGCATTGTTGCCTTGTCAACATCGGTAGACTCATCAACCTGGACTGCGTATCACAGTGACTCATTAATCCACTCTAACAATTGTGCCTCAATGTCCTCTGCTATTTCATCAATTTGTCTAGTTATGGTGCCAGCTGAATGAGGAACTTGTGCCACCTTTTTAACTGCAAGATCTCCTAAAAGTTCAAGACAAATGTCCTTAGCAGCAGGCAGGGTCAACTCTTCACCAACAGTAAAGGACTTCTTAGCTTTAGCAATGCATTTAGCCACTAACAATGATACTCTCAGTACAGACACATTTGATGAAGCTGTGGCCTTCAATGATTGCTTCTGTTCTTCGTGTTCACTAAAACAAACAAACAAACAAACAAAAAAACCCAAAAGCTTGTTTTTTAATGCGAGGTGCTTGGTCTCCATGTAGCAAAGCAGTTTTGAAGGTTTCATGGCTTCGTTGGATAGCTAGTTACCACATATTATACAAAGCAGGTTCAATGCACCCGTAATTTAAATAGGACTCTTGGTATTTTCTTTTAAATGCAGCTTTCATTTTGTTGCCAGTCTTAAAAGTCTTCTGCTGTCTCATCATTGGGTCTTTCCCCCCTTTTCAAAGAAGCTCTCCAGTGACGTTTATTTTTTACTAATTTGGCTAGGATTAGCTCATGGGCTTACCAAAACTGTGACTGAGACAAGTGTGCAGTGTGAGAAAGAGGCATGGTAAATAAAATAATGGGTGGGCCATGTGTGGGCTAAAATAACTGTTGGATTCTGACTTAAGGCCTGCTACCAGATGCAGCTGTACAACTGAAGTACATCAACTCACTTGCCACTATAAAGTTAAGCCTGCCACCAGATACAGCTTAATTGTCATTTGCCACTCACTGATAGGGTTTTGATATAAGTCTGCAAGCAGTTGATTTATGATGGTCTCTGTGCAGTCAAACCTCTCTGCTAATGTTAATCTGTATTTGCAGCTGCTCCTCAATGCTAGCATCAGTGCCTCAGCTCCACCTTAGATCATCAGGCGTTAGATTCTCAAAACCAGTGCACAGCCTAGATCCCTTGCATGTGCAGTTCACGATAGGGTTCACGCTACTATGAGAAACTAATGCTACTGCTGATCTGACAGGAGGTGGAGCTTAGGAGGTAATGTGAGCAATGGGGAGTGGCTGTAAATACAGATGAAGCTTTGCTCACTTGCCTGCCACTCACCTCCTGCTTTGCAGCCTGGTTCTTAACACACCACAGATCAGTACTGGTCTGTGGCCCAGGGGTTGGGGACCCCTGCTCTACAGGCTTAATGAGCTTGAAAAATAGTGTTCTAAAGAGCCGTTTATTGTAACGTAACACATTTAAAATAAATTCAAATAAATCAGAACTCCCAACAAATGTGACTGGATTACATTCTCTAGTAAAAAGAAAAAAGTAGTGCAGTTATAAAAAAAATTAATAAATAAAACAAGCCAACAAAAGACTAAAATTCAGGTATGCGCTGTTTATGAGACACATTGAAGGGTGAAAAGAAAAAAAGACAGGAAAAGATATACAAGGCAAATAGCAACTAAAACAAACCTGGATAGCTTTATCAATATCAGCCAAAAATTAAAAAATAAAAAAGCTTAAGGCAAAGACAGATAAAATATGGTAACTCACTTTAATCAAAAGGTTAAATTCATCAGCACCACAGGAAAGGGAGAAAAAAGGTTAAACTCGGCAGGAAAATGTAATAATTCAAGTCTAAGTATAACCAATAAATTAGCCGTAAAATACATAAAACCAAAAAAATATATAACAACAACAAGAAATTGTCAAATCCACCATCACGGTAGGTGATGTTAATGCAATTCCCTAGGTAAGCAAAACGTCAAGCAGACAGAAAGTCAGCCTAGCTTAATGAATGTATATGAAACACCACAGCTGAACACCCATCAAATAAGAAACATGGCAAGAAGGAAGCAATTTGTGGTGGAAGCAGAAGCTTGAATGGATGCAGAGGGGTAAAGGAGGCCAGTAAAGGCAAAACACTGGCAGGGTTGGGAATGAGCAGGTGCTATACTCGCAGAGAAAGCCTGCAAATGGGGAGAGGAGTGAGGGTATGGAACACACATGAGGAGGGCAGTGGGGCCAGGGTAATGATGGAGCACTGGGGTAAAAATTAAAGAACAATCCATTTCCTAGGAACCTTCCCTGGTTCCTGCTCTTCCTGAGACCTGGCTGTTAAGCTAATTCTGGGTCACCTTGCAAACAAGTATCCATTCTTGAAGTAACTGAAATGATCCTCTGCTCATTACAACCCAAATAACTAACCAGTTAAATAATGCAGTTTCCTTGTTGCAGCTGTCAATAGGGTTAAAGTTCTGCTGGAATCGGGGTCCCCACACAGACATTCTACACAGCTGCTATTCTTGGGCAACTGTGGCATGCAAGCATTCCCTCCTTCCCTCCACAAATGTTCACTGAGTAACTACTTTGAGCAAGGTACTGTGATAATTTCAAATGGCTTAAAAGAAACATTTTAGATAATACTCTATTTTCTTTATGGTCTTGACAGAATACCAAAGAACTGCTTATGATTTTCATTGAGACAGCCTGAAGGACTTTAAAATTGAGTTTCTAAAAGACTTTTGGCAGAGTATTTGGTTGAAAATTTAGGTAACTAAAAATGTAGGTTTGTATTTCTCACTTCAAAATGAAGACCTCTAACTCAGAAAAAACCAATATTGTTGCTATAACAGTGTATGAATTGTAATTTTTTAAACTGGTGGTAAAAATCCAGATGTAAAATATAATTTTTAAAGGGTACTTAAAAAACTGTTGCACAAATTATTTTCTGCAATGATACAGAAGAATTGCATTTGAACGTATTTTTGACCATGAGAGACAAGCCAGTACCTAATATGTGATGTATCTGGGAAACAAACAAAAAAAAAACAAAACACCCTGAAACAAAAAACCCCAAACCCAAAGCAAAAACAAAACTCTCAGCTTTTATTTAGAAAACACATCAACCATATACAAACAGAGATAATTTATAGCAGCCTTCTGTATGTATACAAGAAACACTCCAAGTCAAACTAGTGATATAAAAATCATAAAGAAGGTAAGGCAAGGCAGATAGAAATATTTTAAATGCTCATATGAAGAATTTAAGGCCTCAAACGTGTCTTCAATCAGTTGTCATAAGAGGAACCTTCTACAATTCAAAGAAAACTTGTCCTTGAAGATCATATGACAAAAAAGTTGTTCATCACTGTGTAGAAAGTACTAAAAAGTGATTAAAATTGTATTCAATGAAGAAAATCTTGATTTAGTATGATAACTATGGAAGAAATTGGAATAATCTCAGATCCTTTTTATGATACTCAGTCCATTCTCCGCATATATTTGTTACAATTACTACATTCCAGACTCTGTGTGAAGTTCTGGAGATATTCAGACCCTGTCCTCACTTAGCTTACAGCTTAGTTTTAACATTGTACAATCACTGTCAGAATGGAGGAAGGTGCAGCCACTCAACTAGGAGGCAACTGTCCTGGGCGGAACTCACATCATTCAAGAACTGATATCACTGGACAGCATCATGTGACACAACACGTCGTCAAGAGTGAAGACTCTGTATTACCACAGCAGAGAGACTGGATAACCAGGTATGATGCCACTTATACGCTGATGTGTTTATCTGTGCCAATCATGACTCCCCTTGATCAGGAATAACTCCAACCCCTTTCTCTTAAAGGTTAATTTCTCCAAATTGCTACAGTATTTTGTCACATTCACTCTACTTCATAGTTCCTGCTTTTATCAGTAAGTCACTTTTTGTCTACCCCTGTGGAACATTAAAATTTATGGGGAGTTTAAAAAACAAAAATTGATGCCTGGATTCCCTCCCTGGAGAGGCTGGTTTAACTGACTCTAAAGGGCAACCAGGGTTGAGAATCTCTCTCATCCATATTTCCACAATATTTTATGCTAGCCAGAGTCTTAAAATTCTCCTTTCACTCTTATACTATTAGCTTCTTTGCTGCAGAACTCTTAACCAGCATCTTTACATTTTCTTTTCTTTGAACTGTCTTGTTTAAAATCTTAAGGAGTGTCCAACAGAAAAATGGACAAAGGACCCATGGCTGGCAACTCACAAAAGAAACACAAATAACTAACAAACATCTGGAAAACATTCAACATCTCCTCTTGTAATCAAACATGAAAACATTTAACATCTCTCAACTAGTAATGTGTTCGTTAAAAATCCAGGAAATAGGCCTTTTTCATACACTGTGAGTAGGAGTGTATTTCAGAAGAACTTTTATGAAGGCAAATAGGCAATATATTTCAAAAGTTTAAAAAATGTTATTTCCAGCCAGGTATGGTGTCTCACGTCTGTAATCACTGCACTTTGGGAGGCCAAGGTGGGCAGATAGCTTTAGGTTAGGAGTTCGAGAGCAGCCTGGGCAACATGGCGAGACCTTGTCTCAACCAAAAATAAAATATAAAAATTAGTTGGGCATGGTGGTATGCACCTGTAGTCCCAGCTACTCAGAAGGCTGAGGTGGGAGGATTGATTGAGCCTGGAAGGTCAAGGCTGCAGTGAGCTGCGATCGCAACACTGCATTCCGGCCTGGGTGACAGAACTAGACCTTGACTCAAAATAAAACAAAACAAAAACAAGAATGTTATTTCCTTTGGCCTAGAAATTCCAGCTCTAGGAATTTACCTAAGGAAACAGACATGAGTCCAAAAGATAAGTGTTCAAAGAAGTTCATCATAGCAAACAGAACCAACTTAAAAGTATTTATTTAGGGCACTGAATCAACAAATTTTTGTATCTCTACGTAACAGAGTATTAAATGGCCACAAAAATGCTGGGGCTGAGATTGAGGGTGGCAGAGAAGGTATGAGGTTTACTGAGCTCCTTGCCTGTACAGACACATTTTTCCTCTTGCACAAACGTATACTTAGACATGACAGATATACATACATATGGGGATGCAAAATTGCATAAGAGGACATAAAAGAGGGATTACAAATGGGAGACGAAACAAAAAAAATAGGCTAAACTGAAATAAGAAAAGGAGGCTTGGTGAGTAAGATGCAGAATAGGGACTTTACAAAGAAGATGCAAGAAACTAAAAGGAAAAGCAGTGTTGCTGTTATGGAAAACAATATGGTGGGTCCTCAAAAAAATTAAACATAGAATTACCATATGATCCAGCAATCCCACTTTTGGGTATATACTCAAAAGAACTGAAAACAGGGGCTCAAACAGGTATTTGTATTCCCATGTTAATAGCAGCATTGTTCACAATACCCAAAGGTAGAAGCAACCCAAATGTCCACTGATAGATGAATAAACAAAATGTGTAATGTACATAAATGGAGTATTTTTCAGCCTTAAAAGGAAGAAAATTCTGAAACATGCTACAACATGGATAAACTTTGAAAATATTATGCTAAGTGAAGTAAGCCAGTTACAAAGACTCCACCTATATGAGATACTTTGACTCCAATTATACATATGGTAGACTGTTCCACAGGTTACAGAGGCTCTGTGCATTTTTTCTTTATGCTTAAATTTAGATAATCTCTATTACTATGTCTTCAAGTTCACTTACCCTTTCTTGAGGACGTTATGCTAAGTGAAATAAGTAAGTCACATAACGGCAAACACTGCATAATTCCACTTATATAATGTACCTAAAGTAGTCAAATTCATAGGGATAGAAAGTAGAATAGTAGTTGCCAGGGGCTGAGGGGAGGAGGGGATAGGGAGTTATTGTTTAATAAGAACATCATTTCCATTTAGGAAGATGAAAAAAGTTTTGGAAATGATTAGTGGTGATGTTTGTAAAAAAATGTGGATGTACTTAATGCCAATGAATTGTAAATTAAAAATGGTAAATGTTATATTATGCATATATAATAAAAATTGCAGGTCTGAAAAAAATTCTAAAGGACAATAATACTAAGTACTCTGATATTGATAATTGCAATATTAGCTTTGTTTTCTTTTTCAAGGAAATCGGTCCTTACTAGCACTTTTGAACACTTTGTCTCTTGCAAATCCAGTACATGTCAAACTTCTGAAATGCTACTCAAAACTTCACAATAACACAATGTGTTAGTACTTGAGAGCCAAAAGGTAAAAACTTTAATCCTGGCTCCAATCTTAATTAGGTATTAGCTGGGGGAAAATCAGTTAATTCTTTCTAGACTTGTGCTTCCTATATTTAACATGAACAGGGTGGTCATTTCAACACAAAAATGAACTCAAGTTTCTTTGCTACTCTGATATTCTCTAGTTCCACAGTCTCTAAGTCCCCGACAACACTTTACACATTATAAATATCTTTGTTACATGGGTGGTTGAGCTTTGTGTAGTTTTTTTTTTTCCCCTAAGAATGCTGTATTGGTATATGGAAGATTCTATTTTGTATTTTAACATTCTTTTTTATGTTTATATCTTCTGTCATTTCATTGCCTCCAGTTAATATTTGTAAATTTTTTGAGCTAAATTTGTCATTAGCGTCTCCATTACAATTATGAAAGAATACCTGTATTTTTTCTTAAATCTCAAAACAAAATTAGGATTTTTTCCCTTAGAGAGAATTTGACTATCTCTTAATTATTTGATACCATTTATTTTGATTTTTAAGGAATATAACCGCCCCTGCCCCCCCAATAAAAGTAGTAAGCATGGAATGCTTTTGTTCCATAAGATGGGATTCTTTCCAAGGACTCTACCTTCTAGGTCTTGTCAATGTGGGAAAATAAAGTTTCAACATTAGTGTTTCCTTATAAAAGATCAGAGAGTGAATGCTTGATTCATGCCCACTTTACTAAACAGTTGTTTCCAACTATTTTAGCCCCTAAATATTTCTTTAAGCTTTTTCCTCTTTTTGATTCCCAGCACTACTGTCCTAGTTCGCACCATCATCAACATTTGTGAATACTACTGTTTTACCTTTCAAATAGGTCTTCCTGTCTTCAAGAAGAATGCCTTTGATGCCTTTAAAACATTGGCTTCTTTTAAATCTGACTTTAGCACTAAGTGAACTACGTGAAATATAAATCTGGCTGTCATTCTTTTTTTTTGCCTTTAATCAGTTTATTTTTATTTTTTATTTTTTTTAATTATTATTATACTTTAAGTTTTACGGTACATGTGCACAATGTGCAGGTTAGTTACATATGTATACATGTGCCATGCTGGTGTGCTGCACCCATTAACTCGTCATTTAGCATTAGGTATATCTCCTAATGCTATCCCTCCCCCCTGCCCCCACCCCACAACAGTCCCCAGAGTGTGATGTTCCCCTTCCTGTGTCCATGTGTTCTCATTGTTCAGTTCCCACCTATGAGTGAGAATATGTGGTGTTTGCTTTTTGTTCTTGCGATAGTTTACTGAGAATGATGATTTCCAATTTCATCCATGTCCCTACAAAGGACATGAACTCATCATTTTTTATGGCTGCATAGTATTCCATGGTGTATATGTGCCACATTTTCTTAATCCAGTCTATCATTGTTGGACATTTGGGTTGGTTCCAAGTCTTTGCTATTGTGAATAGTACCGCAATAAACATAAGTGTGCATGTGTCTTTATAGCAGCATGATTTATAGTCCTTTGGATATATACCCAGTAATGGGATGGCTGGGTCAAATGGTATTTCTAGTTCTAGATCCCTGAGGAATCGCCACACTGACTTCCACAATGGTTGAACTAGTTTACAGTCCCACCAACAGTGTAAAAGTGTTTCTATTTCTCCACATCCTCTCCAGCACCTGTTGTTTCCTGACTTTTTAATGATTGCCATTCTAACTGGTGTGAGATGGTATCTCATTATGGTTTTGATTTGCATTTCTCTGATGGCCAGTGATGATGAGCATTTTTTCATGTGTCTTTTGGCTGCATAAATGTCTTCTTTTGAGAAGTGTCTGTTCATATCCTTTGCCCACTTTTTGATGGGGTTGTTCTGGCTGTCATTCTTGTACTTTGAGCCCTTCACTGGTTTCCAGGGCCTAAAGAATAAAACCTAAGCACCTCAGCATGGCTGATTAGGCCTTTCATCACCACTGTATATCCTGATGTTCTAAGACCCAAGGGTTGCTGCCTCAGCAGATACCATGCAAGCCATATGTGCCTCAGCACATACCACACAAGCACATCCATGATTTTGCTTCTGTGTGTAACCCCAAGTGGTGGAATGTCTTCCTTCCCCTTTTTTTCTGGGTTACCACCTGCTTATTTTTGAAAATTTGGCTCGGGGGCATCTCTTCTAGGAAGTTTTCCCTGTTCTCTCGCATAACCTGCAGGCACTTACCATGTCATACTATAATAATCTCTTTTTGAGTCTGCCTTCTTCTCTGGACTGTAAATTCCCCAAGAGCAGTGCTATGGTTCAAATGTTTGTTCCCTCCTAAACTCCTGTTGAAATTTAATTGCCAGTGAAATGGCACTGGGAGGTGAGACTTTTAAGTGGAGTTTAGGTCATGAGAGCTCTGTTCTCATGAATGGATTAATGCCATTATCATGGGAGTGGGTTTGTTATCAAGGGAGTGAGTTCCTAATAAAAGGACAAGTTTAGCCCCCTTTTACCTCTCTCTCTTCCCCTCAACCTGCTTTATTCTTCTACCATGGAATGATATAGCAATCTCACCAGATGCCCTTGATCTTGGACTCTCCATTGTGGAGAGAACCACGAGCCAACACATTTCTGTTCGTTGCAAATTATCCAGTCTTAAAGGGGATATTACCACTGACCCCACAGAAATACAAATAACCATCAGAGAATATTATAAACACCTCTATGCACACAAACTAGAAAAGTCAGAAGAAATGGATAAATTCCTGGACACATACACCCTCCCAAGACAGAACCAGGAAGAAACTGAATCCTTGAACAGACCAACAATGAGCTCCGAAACTGAATCAGTAATAAATAGCCTACCAACTAAAAAATAGGCCAGGAGCAGATGAATTCACAGCCAAATTCTATCAGATGTACAAAGAAGAGCTAGTACCATTCCTACTGAAACTATTCCAAAAAACTGAGGAGGAGGGACTCCTCCCTAACTCATTCTATGAGGCCAGCATCATCTTGATACCAAAACCTGGCAAAAGAAAAAAAGAAAATTGAATCCAGCAGCACATCAAAAAGCGAATCCACCATGATCAAGTAGACTTTTCCCTGGGATGCAAGGTTGGTTTGACATATGCAAATCAGTAACTGTGATTCATCACATAAACAGAACTAAAGGCAAAAGCCACACGATTATCTCAATAGTTGTAGAAAAGGCTTTCCATAAAATGAACACTGCTTCATGTTAAAAACTCTCAATAAACTAGGTATTGAAGGACCATATCTCAAAATAATAAGAACCATCTATGACAAACCCACAGCCAACATCATACTGAATGGGAAAAAGCTGGAAGCATTTCCTTTGAAAACCAGCACAAGACGAGGATGCCTCCTCTCACCACTCCTATTCAATATAGTATTGGAAGTCCTTGCCAGAGTAACCAGGCAAGAGAAAGAAATAAAAGGCATCCAAGTAGGAAGAGAGGAAGTCAAACTATCCCTATTTGCATGATTCTATACCTAGGAAACCCCATAATCTTGGCCCAAAAGCTCCTTAAGCTGATAAACAACTTCAGCAAAGTCTCAGGATACAAAATCAAGATACAAAAAATCACCAGCATTCCTATACACCAAGAGTCAAGCCAAAGCCTAATTAAGAACATAATCCCATCCACAATTACCACATACACAAAATAAAATACCTAGAAATACAGCTATCCAGGGAGATGAAAAATCTCTACAATGAAAACTACAAAATATTGATTGAAGAAATCAGAGATGACACAAACAAATAGAAAAAACATTCCATGCTCATGGACAGGAAGAATCAATATCATTAAAATGGCCATATTGCCCAAAGCAATTTACAGATTCAATGCTATTCTTATTAAGCTACCATGACATTCATCACAGAACTAGAAAAAAGTATTTTAAAATTCAAATGGGGCTGCACACGATGGCTCACACCTGTAATCCCAGCACTTTGGGAGGCTGAGGTGGGTGGGTTGCTTCAGCCCAGGAGTTCGAGACTAGCCTGAGCAACATGGCAAAACCCCATCTCTGCAAACCAACCAACCAACAAACAAACAAACAAACAAACAAAAAAACAGAAATTAGCTGGGCATGCTGGTGTGTGCCTGCGGTTCCAGCTATTTGGGAGGTTAATGTCGGGGGATTGCTGGAGCCTGGAAGTTGAGGCTGCAGTAAGCCACTTTCACACTGCTGCACTCCAGCCTGGGGGAAAGAGCAAGATCCTGTCTCAAGAAAAATAAGGCCAGGCACAGTGGCTCACCTCTGTAATCCCAGCACTTTGGGAGGTTGAGACTGGCAAATCACCCGAGGTCAGGAGATTGAGACCAGCCTGGTCAACATGGCGAAACCCCGTCTCTACTAAAAATACAAAAATTAGCCAGCCGTAGTGGTGTGGGCCTGTAGTCCCAGTTACTCGGGAGGCTGAGGCAGGAGAATTGCTTGAATCTGGGAGGCAGAGGCTGCAGTGAGCCAAGATTGTGCCACTACACTCCAGCCTGGGTGACAGAGTGAGACTCTGTCTCAAAATAAATAAATAAATAAAATAAAATAAAATAAAAATTCATATGGAACCAAAAAAGAGCCTGAATAGCCAAGGCAATCCTAAGGAAAAAGAAAGCTGGAGGCATCACACTACCTGACTTCAAACTATACTTCAGGGCTACAGTAACCAAAACAGCATGGTACTGGTACAAAAACAGACATATAAACCAATGGAACAGAATAAAGAGCCCCCAAAATAAGGCCACATACCTACAACCATCTGATCTTTGACAAAACAGATAAAAACAAGCAATGGAGAAAGGACTCCCTATTCAACAGATAGTGCTGGAATAACTGGCTAGGCACGTGCAGAAGACTGAAACTGGACCCCTTTCTTACACCATATACAAAAATCGACTGAAGATGAATTAAAGACAAATGTAAAACCTAAAACTATAAAAACCCTGGAAGACAACCTAGGCAATACCACTCTGGACATAGCACAGGCAAAAATTTCATGGCAAAATGCCAAAAGCAATTGCAACAAAAGCAAAAATTGACAAATGAGATCTAATTAAACTAAAGAAAACTAAAAGCTTCTGTACAGTAAAAGAAACTATTGAGTAAACAGACAACCTACAGAATGGGAGAAAATTTTTGCAAACTATGCATCTGACAAAGGTCTAATATTCAGCACCTAAAAGGAACTTAAACAAATCTACAAGAAAAAAAAACAACCCCATTAAAAAGTGGGCAAAGAACATGAACAAACACTTTTCTAAAGAAGACATACATTTTATTTTATTTGCAATAAGCATATCAAAAAAAGCTCAACATCACTGATCATTAGCGAAATACAAATCAAAACCACAATGAGATACCATCTCATACCAGTCAGAATGACTATTACTAAACAGTCAAAAATTAACAGATGCTGGCAAGGCTGCGGAGAAAAAGGAATGCTTATACACTGTTGGTGGGAGTGTAAATTAGTTCAACCATTGTGGAAATCAGGGTTGCAATTCCTTCAGAAGCTAAAAACAGAATTACCATTTGACCCAGCAATCCCATTACTGGGTATATACTCACAGGAATATAAATCATTCTGTAACAAAGACACATGCATGTGTATGTTCATTACAGCACTATTCACAATAGCAAAGACATGGAATCAACCTAAATGCCCATCAATGGTAGACTGGATAAAGAAAATGTGGTACATATACACTATGGAATACTACACAGTTGTTAAAAAGAACGACATCATGTACTTTGCCAGAACATGATGGAGCTGGAGGCCATTATCCTTAGCACACTAACACAGGTACAGAAAGCTAAATACTGCATGTTCTTACTTATAAGTGGGAGCTAAATGATGAGAACACCTGGACACACAGAAGTGAACAACACACACTGGGGTCTACCTGAGGGTGGAGGGTGAAAGGAGGGAAGAGGATCAGGAAAAATAACTAATGAGAACTAGGCTTAATACCTGGGTGACAAAAAAAAAATAATAATGCCTGGGTACAACAAACCCGTGTGACATGAGTTTACCTATATAACAAACCTGCACATGTACCTCTGAACTTAAAATAAAAGTGAAAAAAGATAAATCACCCAGTCTTAGGTATTCTGTTATGGCAGCACAAAAGGGACTAAGACAAGACAAGCAGTAACCATG
Source organism: Homo sapiens (assembly GCF_000001405.40). NCBI lineage: Eukaryota > Metazoa > Chordata > Mammalia > Primates > Hominidae > Homo > Homo sapiens. The sequence continues at coordinate 27,883,181 of NC_000002.12, forward strand.
TTTTCCTAACTGCAGTATTCTTTTTTTTTTTTTTTTTGAGACGGAGTCTCGCTCTGTCACCCAGGCTGGAGTGCAGTGGCACGATCTCAGCTCACTGCAAGCTCCGCCTCCCTGGTTCACACCATTCTCCTGCCTCAGCCTCCCGAGTAGCTGGGACTACAGGCGTCTGCCACCACGCCCAGCTAGTTGTTTGCATTTTTAGTAGAGATGGGGTTTCACCGTATTAGCCAGGATGGTCTCGATCTCCTGACCTCGTGATCTGCCCGCCTCGGCCTCCCAAAGTGCTGGGATTACAGGCGTGAGACACCACGCCCAGCCTCCTAACTGCAGTATTCTTAGTGTTTAGCACACTATAAGTATTTCAGCATTATAAACAAGTCATCAAAATACTAGAGCAAAACTCATCACAAAGTCCACCTTACTTTGTTCTCCTTAGGTTACAGACATGAAAAGCCTAAGGCACAGAGAGCTGGCAAAGGAATGGATTGCTAAAGGGACTGCTTTGTAATAGTACACAGTAGGTGCTCTTTCTTTGTCATATGCAATTTTTTTTTTTTTTAAGAGACAGAGTCTCATCACCCTGTTACCTAGGCTGGTCTTAAACTCCTGGGTTCAAACAATCCTCCCACATCGGCCTCCCAAAGTGCTGGGATTACAGGCATGAGCCACTGCACCCAGCCATAATTTTTTAATGTATATTTTCATTAAAGGGACATACCAAATTTCCCATGAATGATTACTTTTGATATTAGGGAATACAGTTGACACAACTATGTTTAACAAAATACTAATTTAATAAATGATTGGTAACTGATAAGCAACTTTTCAGACCAATTTAAGAAGCAGAAAGAATAATGAAGGATATTATATTCCTCGAATACTGGGAAAGCATGATACTTTTTGGATCAATATTCCTTTTTTAGTTTTTGAAAATGTGACTGTAAAAGAGATTTCTCTGTTCTAAATATGACAAGCCAAGAGGCTTCTTGACTCTGTAACCTGTGTCCCAGTTACAAAGTACTCTATTATGTCAAACAAATACAAACTTTGATAGGTACAGTATAACTCTCTTTTATTTTTTTATGTTTAACAGGGTCTCACTCTGTTGTCCAGGCTGAAGTACAGTGTACAATCGAGGCTCACTGTAGCCTCAACCTCTGGGTCTCCAGCGATCCTCCCACCTCAGCCCCCCAGTAGCTGGGACTACAGGCTCACACCACTACGCCCAGCTAATTTGTGTATTTTTTGCGGAGACCGGGTTTTGCCATGTTGCCCAGGCTAGTCTTAACTCCTGAGCTCAAGCGATCCACCCGCTTGGCTTCCCAAAGTGCTGGGATTATAGGCTTGAGCCACCACTATGCCTGGCCATAACTTTTTTTTTTTAAGTAATCTAGGTCCAATGCTTCATCCGCTTTGGATCTAAAAGCTTCTAAATTCACTTATTCCACTATCCAATTAAACCTTTTGAAAATTAGGCACTCATTTCCTGATTTGGCAGGATTAAGCTTAGATGCTTGGGTGAACACGAGTCTTATCTCTCAAGCCATCACTTTTAATTGGCAGCATGTAAAAAGATAACACAGAGTTTTAGTTGACATCAGAGTCTATTGCTATGGAAATATAAACATAGGTTTGTATTAAGCACGTCTCAAAGCAAGTTTTAGGACTGCAGAGAGACTTGAAGAGAGACAGGAAGTCAATTTTATTAAAAATTTATCCTTTAAATGTTGTAGTGCCCTAGGAGGTCAGACCCTCAGTGATCTCATCCAGCCTCATGGCTTTAAATACCATTGATACACTGATGACTCTGAAATTTATATCTCCGGGTTGGACCTCTCCTTTGAGATCCAAACTCTTGTATCTATTTTCTTCACCTCCTCAATTTGATATCTAGTAGGTACCTCAACCCTCCCAATTCCACTCTGTGCTCCTGATACAGCCCTCTCCCACCCAACTTTCTCTGCATACAATCTTCTGCGTTTTCATAGAGGTCAACTTCCACTAATCCTGTCAACTCTACCCCAAAAATATAATAGAAAGATGCTTTCTCTCCACTTCACTGCTTTCAAGCTACCATCATTTCTTGCCTAGATTGTTGGGATTGACTCTGAATTTGTGTCCCTGCTTCTGTATTTGCCTTCCCCTTCATGCTATTTATTCTCATATAGCCCTTGGAGAGATCCTATTATAATCAAAATAAGATTATGTCACTCCCCTGCTCAAATCCTCCACTAGCTTTTCATCTCATCCAAAGTATGACTCAATGTCCTTTAATCACTGATTGCTGTCTCCTGACTCTTTTTTTCTTCTTCATCCATACTGGACTCCATGTTCTTCACTGAATACGGCCTTTGAGTACACTATTCCTTCTGCCTGGAATGCTCTTCCCTCAGATTATGACTTGTTTTCTTTCCTCCTTTAGGTCTTTACTCTAAATAACCTTTTCAGTGAGGCTTTCTGAAGCCAGTAATCTAAACTTCCTATTCCCATCCCTCCTTACATGTTTAATTTTTCTCCTTAGCTTTTACCTAACTTACTATGTAATTAACTTATTTCTACTGATACTGTCTTACTAGAATGTAAACTTCATGAGGCAGGGATTTTTGTCTGTGTTTTCACTGCTGTATCCTCTGCACATCAGGAAGTGCCTGGCACATAGTATAAATTCAATAAATATTTCTTGAATGAATAATTAAAAAAATGGGTGATACAGGTCATAAAAAATAAGGTTTACTAATGAAAACATGATTAACAAAGGCCTATGAGCCTAACGTCTAAAAATATTCACACATTGTTGTTTTGTTGTGGAAATCTGTCTTTGGAAAATCTTTGACTTTATATCCCATAAGACCAGGGTTGATTCCTTGTATCTTTGTAATGTGTAACTTTAGAGATGAGTGTTCAAGAAGGAAGAGGATGATGAGAAAAATATAAGTGAGTATTAAATAATTTCAATTGTTTGCCATGCTGTATGAGCTAATGATTTTTAAAAATTATTACTACATACGACTTACTATTCATAGCTGACTGAAATTAGAAATGAAAAAAAAGGTTATTCATTGATTGAATTAGCAGTGTCTGGCACACAGTAATGTAATATATAAAGTAAGTTGGGCTTGGATGCCATCTAAAAGGGCTTAGTTATTGAAGCAGTTTTATTTCTGAAGTGATACTAAAGAATAGGCATGCGTGTCCAGGCTAGTTACAGTTAAATTTAGGAATAAGGCACAGTAATAAAGATACTATCTTTAGACTTGAAAATTATAAATCCTTAGTTGTTATTCCTTATCAGTTTATAAAGTTAACAATGAATGTACAGACTACAAGCTATCAAATGTACTGTAGATGAAAAGGGCAATAAACACTAGTCAGAGTTAGAGGTAGAATGATATAATGGAAAGGTACGAATTGGGGCCAGGCACGGTGGCTCACGCCTGTAACCCCAGCACTTTGGGACACCAAGTAGGAGGATCGCTTGAGCCCAGGGGTTCAAGACCAGCCTGGGCAATATAGCGAGAGCCCATCTTTAACAAAATAAAAAATAGAAAATATATATTTAAAAAAATAAAAAAGAAAGGTTAAGGATTGGGAGACCTGGGTAGTAGCCTTTACTAGCCACTTACTAGCCAGTAAGTAACCACTTACTGGCTGTGTGATTTGGAGTAAGTCATTGAAGCTCTCTTCCTTATCTCACTTGTAAAATGTGAGGATAGAATGATAGGCTTCAAAGAGTCTCTGAGAACTAAATATTGTAGGATTTTTTACTTCAAGCTTAACCACTGTGGTAGCAAAAATAACATACTCTCTGCTCCCCTCTCCCAAAGTATGTCCACATCCAAATCCCCAGAATTTGTGAATATGTTGTTACGTGGCAAGGGGAAATTAAGGTTCCTAATAAGTCACCATAAAATAAAGAGATTATTCTGAATTATCTGGTTGTGCCTAATGTAATCACAAGAGTTCTTATAATGTAGAAGAGGGAGCCAGAAGACTGGGGATCAGAGTGATGTAATGTGAGAAAGACCTGAACAACCATTGCTGGCTCTGAAGATGGAGGAAGGGGCCACGATGAGCCAAGGATGTGGGCAGCCTCTGGAAGGTGGAAAAGGAAAGAAAACAGATCCTCCTCTAGAGTCTCCAGAATGGAGCCCAGCCCTGCTGACACCTTGATTTTAGCCCAGTGAGACCTGTATCAGACTTCTGACCTCCAGAACAGTAAAAAAATAAACTTGCGTTAATTATTAAATTTGGTAATTTGTTACAGCAGCAGTAGATAACTAATATAATCATGATACTAACTGTAACTAGAAAAGTTGCACCCAAGTTTATCACAGATGCAGGGTTTTAAATGAAAATCCTATACGCAGATTTTTGTAAAGATCTTCAGTGTCATAAGTAACGAGAGATCATGAAAAGTTTGTTGAAAAGCTGTGGGAATTAGCAGAGAGAGTCTATATGGGAATACAGTTTTTACTAATGATTTTTTACTGATGATTTTACTAATGATTTTGCTAATCATCAGTAAAATTTTTACTAGTGATTTTGCTAATCATCAGTAAAATTTTTACTAGTGATTTTGCTAATCATCAGTAAAATTTTTACTGATTCATGTGAAGAGAAGAAACTTGGATATTTTATGAAGGAAAGAATATGGCCAAGAGGAGAAATTCTTCTCTGGGCTTCAGTTTATTTATCTAAAAACTGAAGGACTAGAATAAATAATTTCCAAATTTTTCTAGCTCTGAAATAAGACTTTAAAACCCTGACGGATGCTAAAATGGGCCTTTGACACCACTCCCCTACCCCACCCCACAAAGTACTATAGTTATTTTTAGTATCTGATGGTCAAGCTTCACAGAAAGCTCTCAGTTTGGTAACAAGGAAGTAGCTCTGAATTTTAACCCTGACACTTTTATTCAGGTAGGATGTATGAGAAAATTTTCTTTTCTTTTCTTTTTTTTTTTGAGATGGAGTTTTGCTCTTGTCACCCAAGCTGGAGTGCAATGGCGCGATCTCAGCTCACTGCTACCTCCACCTCCCAGGTTCAAGCAATTCTCCTGCCTCAGCCTCCTGAGTAGCTGGAATCACAGGCGCCAGCTACCATGCCCAGCTAATTTTTGTATTTTTAGTAGAGATGGGGTTTCACCATGTTCGCTGGGCTGGTCTGAAACTCCTCACTCAGGTGATCTGCCCACCTTGGCCTCCCAAAGTGCTGGGATTACAGGTATGAGCCACTGCGCCCGGTCCACTTTAGTTTTCTTACTCTTCTGCCACTTCACACATAAAATCATGGTAAACATTTAGCTTGGTGGATTTCCCATGGAATGAATCATTTTAGATGAAGGTTTATTCCTTTATGTAACTCAACTTTATGAATTTTTGATGAAACTTTTTCTAAAGTGAAATACATGCTCTATTTTTATACAAAATTTAGTAAGTACCATATAACCTTTTCTTGAAAAGAGTCATCACCAGTAAAATCAATTGCTATATTGTGTTGTAAACACAGTAATGTTCTTTCTACACAGATGTCTGCAAACTATGGCCTGCAGGATGTTCTTGTAAGGCTTGGGAGGTAAGAATGGTTTTTACATTTAAAAAATGTTGTTAAAAAAAAATGTGACCTTGACCACATACGGCTTGCAAAGCCTAAAATATTTACTATCTGGCCCTTTACAGAAAAGTTTACTTACTCTTGCTCTAGAAAAAGATGTACAGGCCTCTTCAACAAATGTCTCCAACTAGATTCAATTTTATGCTCTGTCACCAAAGGAAAGTATTTTTATCTTGGCACAGTGTCTGACAGAATAGTTCTAATATTTGTGGAAAAATAAAGGTCATTGGTATTTAAAATTCTTTTGTTGCTTCTTCTCGTTACACAGTCTCCTACTCATCCTCAAGTTTTCGTCAGTCACTATAACTGCCTCTAGCAGTCTCTTCTCTAACTCCCACCTTTCTAATCTCAGTGGAAATTTGGTAACACAGCTTATAAATATTTTAAGGTAAGGTTAAATTGGTTACATGAAGACCCTAGACCTATTTTCTGAGTAGAATACAGGTGGTTTGGTGCAGCAATTTGGTGACTTATTTTGATTGTCCCAAAGCCTTTTTGTTTAGTTCCACGTTCTCTATTACCCTTTGGAAAAGCAACATTTCAGGACGAATGAGGTGTTACTGTAGCATACCTGATCATTTTTATAACACAAAGTAGCATTACAACTGAAAAGATATTCATCAAAAGACTGAACTGCAGTAATTGGAGTGGTAGGATTTTCTTGGAATATCTGAATTTATTACTAATTTTACAGTGAACATACATTACTTTTGTAATCAGAAAAGCTACCTTAATTTAAAAAAAAGAAAAATCAGAAGGATCTGTCTACTCAATCTTACTGACCTAACTCAACAATTTTCATTTGGCATATTTTCTATCATAATTTGATCATCGTTTTCAGAGGTTGTAAATACTGTGTTTATGTTTTTATTTTGATTCATACTTGGCTTGCTGAAAAATACGCTGTAAATATAAAATACTGCAGTAATGCCGACAATCAACATGGTGAAAGGTGACAGTCTTTTTGATTTCTGCTCAACTCATTATTTTATACAATAAGCTCAGACGAATAATACCCAATTTGGATAATGTTACGCTTGACAAAACACTTTACTTCATTTAGTCCTCACAACAACCCTGTGAGGTAGGCACATTCTCGGAGGTAAAATGACGTGGGCAAAGTTCCCTGGCTCGTTTGGGGAAAGGCTCAGCAGCCGGGCCAAGAAAGGTCTTTGGGGGCGCAAGTCTTTGGAGGGCAGGTCTTTGGGGAGCGCTTTGAGTAATATTAGAGCTTTCACTAAACCCTGGCCTATTACGTCCCCTCCCCTGAGATTTACCTTTATATACTCAAGTTCTTTCATGCCAGGAAGGTAGGCTGAAGGCTTCGAAAACCTGCAGCTCATACCCAAAGCTAGCACTGTCTATCCCTGGAGACCCAGCGCCCAAAAGCTCCACTGGGCGCATAGCGCACGGCACGCCTCCTCCCCCGAGCCGCAGACTGAGTAACTGGCCCCGGACTAACCTGACCAGGTCGGTCATGCAGGAGCCCACCACTACCACCGCCGCCACCTCCTCTTGCCACTGCCTCTGGGGTTCCCCAGACGCCGCCATCGCTCAAAGGTGCTGCTGTCCAACCTGGACGGTGACCTCTGCCCTTTGCCCGACCCCGTAACCAGAGACGCCACTCCTGCCCTCCCTAACGACGCGGGCCTTTCAGACGCCTACGCGGGTCGCCCACCTGACTGCCCGAAATCACCCCGCCCACCAAGTGTCCCCTCTTCTTCCTGGAATAGTCTCGGTGCACAGCCTCACGTAACAGGGCCCTCCTGATATGGCGAGACTCCGCGCTCCTCGTCACTCACGGGGCAGGCGCTGAGGAAGGAACTGTCAGGCACCGCGGGGACGCCTTTCCGAGCGCCCGGCTCGGCGCGGCGCGGGGGCGCGCACGCCGCCCAGCTTCGGGGCCGCAGAGGGGGCGGGGCGGGACGTCCGGGGAGTGCGCACGCATCCTGCCCGCGGCGCGCGCGCAGGTCGGTGCGTCTGTCGGGGGCGCGCTCGGGTACCTGTACCCCACGTAGTCGCCGGTTACCGATCGGACTAAGTTCCAGGTACCTGGACTGGGGCTGGTGCGGGGAGGTTGGATCCCGAGTCGCACAGGTGGCGTGGAGAACTGTGGTTTAAATATGGCCAGGGGACTCGCCTCCTCTTCCTATGGAGAAGGCCCCCGTTCCAAAGATGCCCTTCTCATCCCCATCACGCTGATTCCCTCAAGAACGAGCCCCCAAGGCCAGAGGCGTCTCTTTCTCCATATCTGGCCCATCCCCTGGTTCCTGTAAACCCCGAGTATTAGTTCCTTGTTGCCTGATGAGGGGAATCATACAGTTTGGAAGAGGGGAGAGTGTCCCTTTTTAAGACGTCCCCTAGAGTGGGGTGGTCATTCTTCGGGTCTGAGCTAACTTGTTTTTCTCGAATGTTGCCCCTTGGGGGAAATTGCTTCCCCAGTGTAACTTCCCTCGTGCGCTGTATGACGTCGACGTGACGCAGCAGGATGCCACCCCTTTCCGTTCCATGACGTCAGCAGGGCACATGTTTCCGTGTTTGTCATCTCATTTTAATTGCAAGAACCTGGATGGTGCTTTAGACGTCTTTGTAATCCCCAGGCCTCTCATCAAAGGACCTTTTGTAACTTTATTTTGGGGTAGCAGACCCTTGCAAAAATTGTAATTTTGCATTTTCCTTTTGCAATACGTCAAAATCAGGAAATACAAATTGCAGTAGTAGTATTCAGGGGACTCTGACCACCGTAAATATTTGTATATCTGGGGTGTATTATAGTGCTGCCATGCGTAAGAGTTACTACCGGTGGTGACTCCCTGTCCATGTACCCGGTTCACTGCACCAAAGGACCAGTGTTTTTGGCTAAGTGACTTCTGATTTTGGAGTCATTGTGTTCCACTCCCCACCCCCCGCCCTTTTTTTTTAGAGAAGTCACACCTCCTCATGGTTGAAATAGATTTTAATACTGCGTGAAACCTTGCACTGTTAAAACATAGTATTATGGCTGCCCTGGAAATAGAATTCATTCCCTCAGGTGTCATCCTAAAGTCACGACCGTTGCTGAATTAGAATGTATTGTTGTCACTTAGTATGGTTTGGCTTCTAGAGCAAGGCTGTTCCCTTTAACATTTGACTAGTGAATCACTCAGACCAGGTTCAGCAGTAGGTCAGCAATAGTCCAGTTTGTTTTTAGTGGTAAAGCAATCATTTGTTTAAATTTTTACTTTTTGTCTGTTCACATTTTATAAGATATACGCTTTACAAAATCACCTTGATGCTTTTCTCTTTGGTGATAGAAGTTATCAATGTTTATTTGAGAGAAAGATGGGTATAGTGGACTTGGAGAATCCGGATTTGGATTCTGATCCTCCAGCTTCCAACATTCAACAAGTTATTTTATTTTGCTGAGCTTTAATTTTCTATTTGTCAAGTTTCTTTAGCTTCCACTTGTCAAATGGGAACAATTATTGTTCTCAGGGAACAGAGTTGGGGAAATGTAAATGAAATTACAGATAGAGATGAGTAATATAATGCCTGATAATGGGTAGATAGGTGTCTAGAATGTGTTGGTTCTGTTTCCTTCTTTTGTAGAAGCAAGAGATAAAGTAATAATGGGTACTGTGGGGAAAAACACAGAAGAACAATTCGGTAATATAGGTGAGACCCTTTTGCTTTTTTATAAGATAGGTATATTTGTACTTAGCATATGACTTTGATAAGCATCCCTTCAAGAATTGTGACATAGACATGAAGGTGGAAATGTTGGCGAATAGAAAAAAATAGGCTTCAAAATTATGATGTGGATTAGTATACTGTTCAGAATCAAATTATAATAATTACCCATATTATCTGCAAACTGGGAATTAAAATTCCTTACTACCTCAGGCTTGTGAAGATCAACTGCAGTAATATATATGGACGCTCCTTGTAAGTGATAAAATGTTTAAAAAAGTACATGATTTTTATGATTGGTAGTACAGTGTTAGATGTTTAGTCTTACTTTGAAATGAGAGACTAGTCGGGGGGCGGTCATCTGTTAAGCGGTCAGAAGAAGAGCTTGTTTTATATTTACAAAAAGGATGATTTTAGAACTGAAGTATGAATATAAAGGTGTTAATCTCGAAGATACTTCTGGTTGTCATCACTATATAGGGTCAAAGTGTTCTTATTTTTTGAGCTATCAAATTAGCAAATAAATTTATTACTTACTATCTGAAATAATAAACTGAAACAGGTTTTAATTTTCAACATTTATTTTAGCAAGGACTTGTAAGTTTTCATGTGGTATAATGTATGAAAACTAGAACCAGAGCATCATTTACTGGTAACTTGCTGGAAATTAATTTTCTTTTGATGTGGCATTATTCTTTAAAATTGAGGAAGGAAACGATCATTTGAATCGACTTTTTCCTCTGAAGGAAGAGGCTTTCATTTAGAAATCTATTAAGAAGAATTCGTGTACTCCCTCCCCCAGCCCTATGAGTTTCCAGATAATTTAGATATGATGTATTGGTTCTACTTTTGTGGTTTTAAGTGTAAGGACTTAGTGCCTTAAAGTCAAATACCTTAAGATCCATGTTAGTCTGTGTTGCTTGATAGCTGCATAGATGTATGTTTTCATAATTTAATTGTCAAGTAGATTTTTGTTATATCTCTTCCTTGGATCTTGTTATATCTATTCCCCTACCAAATTCTGGGGAGGGGGCACATTATCTTCTCTCCATACTGAAATATTTCTCTAACTTTTGTCCCCTTACTCATTTATTTATTAAAAAATGTTTATTGAGTGTTTAGCATGTGCCAGGTATTTCTGTTAAACCCTGGGGATTCAAAACATAGACCCTGCAGGGAAGAGATCACGTAAGCAGGTAGTTATACTACACTGTGGACGGAAAGGTATTAAGAAAGGTGTATCAGCAGTAGGCCGGGTGCGGTGGCTCACGCCTGTAATCCCAGCACTTTGGGAGGCCATGGTGGGTGGATCATGACGTCAAGAGATTGAGACCATCCTGGCCAACCTGATGAAACCCCGTCTCTACTAAAAATACAAAAATTAGCTGGGCGTGGTGGCATGTGCCTGTAGTCCCAGCTACTCGGAAGGCTGAGGCAGGAGAATCACTTGAACCCGGGAGGTGGAGTTTGCAGTGAGCCGAGATTGCGCCACTGCACTCCAGCCTGGCAACAGAGTGAGACTCTGTCGCAAAAAAAAAAGAAAAAAAAAGAAAGATATATCAGCAGTAAATAATTTCTAGTAAGTAATAGCTTCAAGCAGGTCAGCCTGTTGTAGAGTTTTATACGGTATTATCCATCAAGTTTTTACTCCTTGTGGGGACACACAGGGAGAGATTGCTAACTCAGTGATGTGTGTGTTTTTGTGTTGGGATAGAGGATTGTTAGCGAGGGCTCCTTGGACTCAGCTAAGGTAGAACGAGTGAGATAGAGTGGGACCACTTTGAGTAGAGTGTGGCAGTGTAGAAATCAGCTTTGGGAAGGAAAAGGGAATTGTATTTCAGGAGTTCCTTCTGTTCCTGAAAAGCAGTGATGTAGTCCCAGTCCTGAGTAGCTGAGCAGCAGTGAGGTGGTTTCTTCTGGAGGATCATTGGAAGAGGCTGCGCTAGAGATGGGAAATGAATTATTTATTCATGCAAGAGGAACTGCTGTATGCTGTCCAGTTTTCAGGCAGAGTGTTGTATCTAGTCCATTTGTAAGCCCTGATCATTATTCTTTCCTTCTGCTTTCAGTGGTGATTTACAAGTCAAGTTAAAATGTCCCCAGAAGTGGCCTTGAACCGAATATCTCCAATGCTCTCCCCTTTCATATCTAGCGTGGTCCGGAATGGAAAAGTGGGACTGGATGCTACAAACTGTTTGAGGATAACTGACTTAAAATCTGGGTATGTACCAGAATGAATTCAGTCAATGTACCAGAACCAATTCAACCTTTACCTAATGACAGCCCTTCCTTACCAGACTCATAAAAATTGACTGCCACAGAAACCCACCAAGTCATCATCTCATCATATGTTGATTCAGTTGGTTTTGTTCAGTTCTTGACATTTTATGTTTCAGGTTATTTTATTTGTGTTGTGGACCATTGTTTTATGACTAGAATGTTCATGTCTTTTTTTCTGTTTTTTCTTTGTGAAGAGCATGCCGTCAGAGTTTTAAAAGTGTGTTTTTCATTCATTGGCTTGTTTTCTTATTGTGTTTGCTGCAGTCCAGCAACAAACATATTCTGAATCTGATACCATTTGGTAAACTCTCTTAATGTGAATATTATAATAGCTAGCCAAAATGGGTCATTTCTCACAATGGGGTTGAAACAGCAAGATCTCACACCTAGAAATGTTGCATTAAAAAACAGATTTTTTTTTTCCTGAAACAAATTTAGATTTACCAAAAAGCTACAAAAATACTACAGGAAATTAGCATTGTTATAATATTGTTAATTGTTCTACAGGTCTTATTTGAATTTTGCCAGTCTTTCCATTAATGCCTTTTTTGTTCCAGGATCCAATCATCATGTCTCCTTAGTCTCCCCAACAGTGACAGTTCCTCAATTTTTCTTTGCCTATCATGACCTTGACACTTTTAAAGAGTACTGGCTACTTATTTTGTAAAATGTGCATCCACATGGGTTTGTCTAATGTTTTCTTTTCATTAGAGTGAAAAATATGTTTTTTTCCCAAGTGTAGTACAGATGTGTTGTTGTACCATCCTCAATGCATCAGATCAGGGAATATATGATATCCATATGCCTTTTTACTACTAAGTTAACTTTGATAACTTGGTTAAGTGATCACTATAAAGTTAACTGATTTTTCTCCTTGTAATTAGTTAAGTACTGTATTTTGCTGAGTGATGCTTTGAGACTTTGCCAATACCCGGTTTCTCATCATCCTTTTGTCCATTAATTTCAGCATCCATGGATGATTCTTGCCTATAACTATTACTACTCTGGTGCTTGTCTAAGTGTGCTTTTTCTCTTTTTCTCATTCCTCCCCGTTTATTAATTTGAATTCTACTGTAAAGAAACACTCTTCCTTCTCCTTCAGTTATTTATTTATTCAGTTATTTACTTATGCCAGTATGAATTTTTAGGTATGTATTTTCCTCTGTGGGTTATAAATTAAATATTATTATCATTTATTTTGTTGGTCAGTTGCTCCAGCTTTTTGTCATTGGGAGTGCTATCAAGTGGCTTTTGGGTCCTTTTGACATATCCCCATCATTTTTGAGTCCTTTCTTACTAGAAATGTTGCCTTTTTTTTTAAGATGGAGGAAATTTCACTGGACTCTGGGATTTGTGGGAAGCATAGGTATTGGACACTAGGGCAAGTTTGCAGGGGCCATGCTCAAGGTACCTTCTTGGATATGGCATCCACAAATGAAGCTGTTGATATGGACAAAGATGCAGCCAGGAATCTCACTGACCTGGTACAGGGCGTCCTGAAGAAGCCACCGTGGCTTGAGCAGGGGCAGCTAGCTTTAGAATGAGTGGGGCTCCTCAGGCACACACTGTACTACTATTGTCTAGTCTGGTCAGTATAGATAACAAAGATGATGGCTGGGGTAGGGGCAGCCTAGATTCCAGGTGGTAGAGTTGTTCCTTTCAAGGGCATCCACTTTTGCCATTTCCCATCTCTCTCCACTTAGGTGCACCTGGAATCACTGGGCCAGGGCCCCAGGCCCCAGTCTGGCAGCCAGATGTACCAATAGAAGCCTAGTCTCTGCAGAAACTCTTCTCTAAGAGTTAGATCCATCACACACTTGAACCCTACCTTGGTTGGGCTGGTTCCAGGTGGGATTAAGTTGAGCCAGCATTCAGGCTAGTGGCTAGGGTATGTCAAAGTTTCCCCTTCTTCCACTGGTAGGTCTCATTATCTATTGTGTCCACCTCCTCCATGAAGTTCTTGTACATCTTGTCATAGAGGATGCACACCATATTTTCCTCTTCACTAGGCTCCAGCAACTGGGCCAGCAGCTTGTGCCCAGCTGGGTCTGGAGCAGCTTGTGCCCAACTGGGTCCACATTGCTCAGCTGGGTCCGCCATTGCTTCCCAGGTGACAGGGAGCTCGTGGTCTCTGTGAAAGATCTCTGGTGATGGTCATATCAGTGTCTCTGTGGGTAGTACTTTTCACACATGTCCACCATGATGTCACATGAAGCTGATTTTTCAAGGTCCTCGGTCTGCACCCTCTCTGCATCCCGTAGTCTGGCAGGAGGCAAAGCAATGTGCATGTCATTGTCTTGTCACAGTGAATGGTGCCCTTGTGTGTCTCCATTCATGATGGTGCCATGAGGTTGCTGTGGGATCATTTGGGTAACAGGATGGACTCTGAGACAACCATGCAGTGCTGGGTTTGGAGGGGTGTTAGCAGTGGTGGCAGCAGCAGTAAAAGCAGAAATGTTGTATTCTTGATTCTCTTTCTGCTTTCTCCTTGTTAGACTGTTTTGCCTTTTGCCATCTACACACCTTGCTGTTGTTTGACCAAGCTAAAGACTTGGGTATAAGAATACTGAGTTAACGTTCTTTAGTGGTAAGATAAAAAACTAAGACACTTCTTTGGAATAGTAGGATGCTTTTGAAAACATCTGATATTATCTTCAATTTCATTAATCAAATACTTATGGAGCATTTACTATTTACTAGCCATTTTGCTAGTGTTAGGTTAGCTGCTTTTTTGTTGAGGCAAGAGGATTTGGTAGAAAGAACTCTGGTGGAGTTGATCAGAAGACAGTTTTAACTTTTTTTTTTTTCTTCTAAAAGTTAACTATACACATTAGGGGATTTATAAATCAACTCTCATCCTTAGATAAGCCAGGGATTGGAAAGTGACTTTTTAGGGTTTTTTTTTGTTGATTTTTACTGGTTTAGAATTTTTGCCATTTAGTCAAGCAGCAGGCCTGGTGCTCAGACAGACTTCCCCAGCTTATAAATGGTGGTAGGAAGTGGGGATTCTGAAATAGAGACTGTATATAGGATTCATTCAGTCTGAATTTCCACATTATTATAGACAATCTAGATAAAGATTGGAGCCTCCTAAATTACAAAATGCTTTCTTTAGATGGACTCCATCTGTAATTGAAGTCATCAAGATCAGATCTCAAGAGGGTATTTTCCAGTTTCCCTCACTGTAATTTTTGGCCTGCAGAAAGTAGAGTGATGTACTTCCTTTACTGTGCTCATTTCTTCTCAGTTTGTGGTTTTGACTTTGATTTCCTCTTTCTGGGATCTTTAAATCAGTATATTTTTCTTCTGGGTCTGAGAATAAAAAGATTTTCAAATGGATCACTGGATATTTCAGAGTAACTCTTCAGGTTTTCCCACACTTTCATGTTTCTTTCCTTCTTTGATTAAAAATAACATCTTTATGTCTGCATTGTGCTCATCTCTTTTTTTCTGTGTTTTTGAAGGTTTAAAACTGTTGGTCTTTTCATAAGTTCCTTTGGTTCATCAAGATTGTGCCTAATCCTATTTTCTTTTCCTTCCCACCTCAGGTCTTCTGGACCTAGCCTATCTTGCATTTTACTGCTAGGAACAAACACATTAAGGATTTTCTTCTTTTATTGGAATGGGGTGAGCTTGGAGAAAAGAAGGCATTTCAGATGTCCATTGATAGTCTTAAGTCTGTGTAGCCAGAGGCAGTTCCCATTTTCTCACTGGATCTCAATTTTTTATCCATAAAATGAACAATCAGATTAGATGACTGAGGTTTTTGCAGGTCAAAAGTCCTGCAAAAACAACTCAAATGTCCATCAGGTGATGAATGGATAAACAAATTTGGCATATCAAAAATAGAATATTATTTAACCATAAAAAGTAGTGAAGTACTGATTCATAGTACAACATGATGAACCTTGAAAACATTGTGCTAAGTGAGAGAAGCTCATTACAAAAGGTCACATAGTATGTGATTCCGTTTATGTGACGTGTCTAGAATAGGCTAATCCATAGAGACAGAAAGTAAATTAGTGGGTGCCAGAGGCTGGGGGAATCAGAAGTGACTGCTTGAGTGAGGGATTTCTTTTTGGAGTAACAAAAATGTTGTAAAATTAGATAGTGGTGAAGGTTGCATAGCTTTGGGAATAGATGAAGAATGATCAAATTGCACACTTCACAGTGATTTTATGGTATGTAAATTACATCTCAGTAAAGCTGTCATTAAAAAAAAAAAACCAAACAACCTGAGCTGGGCACAGTGGTACATGCTTGTAGTCCCAGCTACTTGGGAGGCTGAGACAGGTGGATCACTTGAGCCCAGGAGTTTGAGACCAGCCTAGGCAACATAGCTAGACCCCTTCTCTAAACAAAAATAAAGAAAAAAAATAAAACCAACCCATCAACCAGGAATGTTCATTGACCTGAATATATAGGACATAGAAATAAATCTTTCTTTTTTAGCATGTCACAGACATTCTTTTCAGAGGTAATGAAGACCTGACAGGGGCCTGATGGCTAGTGGACTGGTGACTGGTATATGTAAAGTGATATCAACCTGAAATTCTTACTCTTTCTATCAGTATCCTGAGAAACCAGTTACGTTTTTCAGCATAAAGTCTTGTTGCTTCTTTTTCACAGATTCCCTTTTGGGTGTTCTCAAATTCCTGAATGTTTAGTTGAAGATTTAAGTGCAAATAGTGGGATCTGATGACAAATTTGAAATGAATCCACTAGTCCTAGTGTTTTTTTTTTTTTTCGTGACAGAGTTTCGCTCTTGTTGCCCAGGCTGGAGGGCAATGGCGCGATCTTGGCTCCTCAACCTCTGCCTTCTGGGTTCAAGCGATTCTACTGCCTCAGCCTCCTGAGTAGCTACAGCGTCCGCCACCATGCCTGGCTAATTTTTTGTATTTTTAGTAGAGATGGGGTTTCATCATCTTGGCTAGGTTGGTGTCAAACTCCTGACCTCAGGTGATCTACCCACCTTGGCCTCCCAAAGTGCTGGGATTACAGGCGTGAGCCACTGTGCCTGGCCTAGTCCTAGCTTTTTCTGGATTAACTGCCTGAAAAATATGTGATATGGCATTTAATGACATTTAATATGTATGGAATTTACTTTCGTTAGCTTCAAAAAAGAAATAAAAATACCTCTACCCACATTCATAAAATGATGTGAAAGACCTTGTTAATCTGGAACATTATTGATGCCTTTTATGTAGTACTTGTCTGAAAGATTCAGGGAAGTTCTTTAGAAGTTCATTAACAATTCCTTCTTCAATCCTTCCATCAGCCGAAGTGTGAATTTCTCGTTTCTGTAACAAAACAATGACAGAGTTAGGGAAAAGAATGGCTTCTTTTTGGTGTGTCACTTTTGGCATTCCTTTCTTTTAGATCTTCAGCAGACACAGTTATGAGTGGTAGGATCTACATGTCTAATTTCTATTAACTCGAAGAGGTATACCCTATAGGACACAGTATAAATAAAAGTATAAAACAAGGAGACAATTTTTAAAGGTCACAAGAACCAGTCTTATTACATGTAGCCAGTTGGCCTTGAAGAGATAAGGTCTAAGTTATCTATATTCTAGATCTGGTTCATAGGAGAAATAGGCAAGAACCTAATCGAAGCAAGATTTCTTTTTTTTTTTTTTAAATAGCAATTCATATATATTTCTCTTATGTTATCTAGATTTTTCTACCTTACTTAATAAGACTGTGTATGTTTCTAAACTCCATTGCTAGACCCATCAGTATCTTAAGGGCCAAGTTCTTGTTTAATTTATGTTTATACCTCCTTAAGATCTATCTTCGTACTTTTCACATGTAATGTAGTAAGTAGGATTTGAATGGATGAATGAATGAGTTAGATGTTTTCCTTGAGAAACTACTTGTTTTGGGTATCAGAGTGGTTTGTTCTTGTGGTTTGGAAGGATTTTTATTGGCCTGATAGTGTATTGCTTACTTTCTGTTATGCATAATTCTTTTTAATGACATTCCCTGAAATGAGTTGACATTTTTGAAATTATAGTAGGCCGGGCGCGGTGGCTCACGCCTGTAATCCCAGCACTTTGGGAGGCCGAGGCGGGCATATCACAAGGTCAGGAGATCGAGGTCATCCTGGCTAACACGGTGAAACCCCGTCTCTACTAAAAATACAAAAAATTAGCCGGGCATGGTAGCGGGTGCCTATAGTCCCAGCTACTCGGGAGGCTGAGGCAGGAGAATGGCGTGAACCCGGGAGGTGGAGCTTGCAGTGAGCCGAGATTGCACCACTGCACTCCAGCCTGGGCGACAGAGTGAGACTCTGTCTCAAAAAAAAAAAAAAAAAAAAGGAAATTATAGTAAAGTGTATTATCTAATACTGGATTTACTCTTGCAGGTAAAATACAGACTGAGATCTGAAGGGACCAAATTATTAATTTTAGAGAATTATTCCATGAGCTTACTGTTTATTAGTTCTTTGCTCTGTGTTAATTTGATCACAAGCATGTGCTATTTGTAAGATGCCATATTTTGTCATTTTTAGTGATTTTTCTAATCTTGAAAATGTCTAAGTGTCTGTTCAGCATTCTGGAATGATGCCTGGCAAATACAACAGTGAGGAAAGCAGAGAGGGCTCACTGCAACCTGTGGCAGCTGAGCCTCAGTATCTTTTTTCAGCATATTGCAGTGACTCAACCTCACTGGCACATGGCTGTGTTTGGGGCATCTGCTGTGACATCTCATCCGCCCACAACTACCTATTGCATTTTTTTGTCCATGTTCTGAATTTCATTACTTAGTTAAAAATAGATACTCAGTGTAAGTACTTGATTACTAAATAGACAGAACACTTTTAAAGGATGAGTGCTGTAAGCTTTGAAGACTGATCTCAGTTTGGCTGCATGAGTCTCTCTAACTGGCAATCTGAATCTTCATTAGCCTTGTGTCTGGAAGGAAGCTGCTGCCCTGGGAGGCAATAGTTTAATTTTTGTCTATGGCCATACCACCTTGATTGCGCCCAATCTCGTCTGAAGATGGGCAGTTTTTAATAATTTAGATTTAGTTGTTCACTTAACTTTTCTGTACTTTTCCCTGATCTCATTCCCCTTTTTCCCCACGCCTGTCTTCATACTTTATGTATTCATTATACATAAATATATTCCTCAACAGTATTATTTTGCGTGTTTAAAAAGTTTGTACAAATGATATACTATATATATTCATCTATATCTTGCCCATTTTACTTAGTATAAAGTTAATGAGATTTATCTGTGTTGATATTTACAGGTTTGGTTCTTTCCTTTGTGCTGATATTTTGTATTCCATTGTGTGAATATGCCCTTAATTTTAAATTCATTCTTCTGCTGATTGACTGTTACACTGTTTAAATTATTTTTTTGACAAAGAATGCCACAGTGAACATTCTCTCACATGTGCACAAGAAAATATGTATGAGAATATTTTCTGGGACAGTTTTTTAAACTGAGTGTATTTACCCATTAGTGGTTGTAAAATCAATTGAGTGAGTCACCCAACATTAAAAAATGAATGAGAACAAAATGGAAACTCTCAAAATGTGTCACAGTAAGAATAAGCACTGTTTTGTGAATTTTCATTTCGGTTAAATAAGTAAGTATGTGTATACTGGGTCATAATGAAAATATGTGTGATGATCAAAACTTTGAAAGCTACCCATCAAAGGTATATTCCTAGAAATAGAATTACTAGCTCTTAAGATGTATACATCTTCTATTTTATTAGATATTGCCAGATTGAATCATTTTCCTTCCATCAGAAATGAGTTTCTACTATTCTGTAGCCTCACCAGTACTTGATATTGTCAAACTTATATTTTTGCCAAGCTGATGAGATGCGACCTGGTATCTCATTGTGGTGAAAAGTCTTTTAATATGCTTATTGGCAATTCAGATTTCTTCCTTTGGGATATCCTTTGTTCGTCTTTTAAGTGGATTGTTTGTATATTTCTATAGATTTTAAAGCATTCTTTGTGTATTTTGGATACTGATCTTTTGGTAATTACATGTATTACAAATATCTGCACAAAGTCTGTGGCATATATTCTTATTTTAGTGCCCCTGACATCCAAGAGTTTTGATTTTGATGAAGTTATATTCTACAGTATTTTCTTTTTTAGATTTGAATATATGTGCCTGTGTGCACGTGTGTGTGTTTGTGTGTGTGTGTGTGTGTGAGAGAGAGAGAGAGAGAGAGAAAGAGAGTTTTAAGAAATCTGGGCCTATCCAAAAGTCACACATCTTTCTTTACGAATTTTAAAGTTTTCCTGTTTCCTTTTTTGGTCTTTAAATGGGAATTTATTTTTTCTGTAATATGGAGTGAGATAGAGATATTGTCTCCCCCACCCCCCCCACCGTATGGATAATTGGTTGACCTAGCCTCATTTATTGAGAAGGCCATCCTTGCCCATGGATGTCAAGTTTATATCACACATGGGCCTGTTGCCAGGCTTTCTGTTTTGGTCAGTCAGCCTCACTGTCCTTGTGCCAGTTCCATACTTTCTTAACTATTACAGTCTTGTGAAATGTCATGATAGCCAGTAGGACAAATTCCCCCCTTCCATCTTGTTCTAATTCTTAAAAATTGTCTTGCTTAACCCTGTGTTCTACATACGTTTTTGTAACCTCATTTAAATAGTTGTATACTGTTTCATTAGGAAACATACCATAATTTAGTTAACAAAAAAACTTCTTTTTAATTAATTGAGAAAGAGAAATGAAGAGAGATTACCCTGATGAGAGGCAAATTGAGAATTGAAGGTTAGAGAAGCTCTCTCTGAGGAACTGAGATTTAAGTTGAATCATGAAATAGATGAATATACTAGTCCCCCCTTCTCATTAGGGGATATGTTCCAAGACCTCCCCTAGTAGATGCCTGAAACCTCTGATGGAACTCTGTTGCCGTCAGTCAGAACACGTTTATGTTGGTGTCTTCCACCCACAAATTTAATGCCTTTTCTGTTTCAACTGAGCACGTAGCATACGCTGTAGCTGTTATTTTTGCAATTTGAGGTGCAAAGCAAAACTAGCACAAATTTCTTTTTCCTTCTTCACAATTTCATGGATAGAAGATTTGTTCTTATGTTAGGTCTTAGCAACATCAGCATATTTTTTTTTAATTCCTTATTAAGTCAAGAACATTTACCTTTTTCCTTAAAGGAAGCACTTTATGGCTTGTCGTTAGTGTATCTGAATTGCCAGCATCACTACTCTTGTGCTTTCCCGAAGCACTTTATTCAGTAAAATAAGGATTACTTGAAGTCAAGCACTGCTGTACCAAGGCAGTTGATCTGATCACCAAGACAGCGACTAAGTGACTAACGGGTGGGTAGTGTAGACAGTTATGCTGGACAGAGGGATGAGTCATGTCCTAGGCGGGACAGAGTTGGAAGGTGTGAGAACAATCTCAGAACAGCATGCAATTTAAAACTTATGAATTGTTTCTGGAATTTTCCATTTAGTATTTTCAGACCAAACATTGCGTTTTCTTGACCAAGGGTCAGGGTAGGCCAAGGGTAACTGAAATCACAGAAAGCAAAACCATAGATAAGGGGGGACTACTATACATCAAAAGTCTTAAATTTGCATACTTCTTGGCCCAGTAATTAAAATTTTGCTGATACATAGGAATATATGCATCCATATGGGCACATTTTATTTTATGGTCCCAGAGAAAGACCTCCAGATAATCAATCTGGCAGTCCTCCAATAAAAAGGCCAGAATGCTGCCTGATAACACTACAGTGAAGCTCAGTCGTTGACAACACCCATGTATAAAGGGCTTCAAATTTTCATGTTAGAGATGCATTCTTTAACAGAAATGCACAGCCAGGAATCATCAGTCTGAGGAAAGCCATCAACATGAAAGACAGAGAGCAAAACAGAGACAATGCAAGGTACAGAAGAATTTTTTTAAAGCTATAATTAATATCCTTATAAAAATAAGAGAAAATACTGCATTCATGAAACTATGACAATATGTCTGTTGGGCCAACTTCTGTACCTGCCCAAATTATCAATCAAATTTAAAACTAGACATTTTCAGACTTTCAAGAACTCAAAAAATTTATATCCTTTTCTCCCTTTCTTAGGATGCTAGTGGAATATATGCTCCAACAAAGCAAGAAGGTAAAACAAGAAAATAAGTGATTCAATACAGGAAGGGAAGACCTAAAATAATAGCTATATGGCAGACCTAGAAAGCAGTCAATACAATTAAAGCAGTTCTTCCATACTGCGTGCTTACTGTTAACTTTATTACTAGATGTTTTATCATTTAGCTGCTATTGTGTAGGAATTCAGTTGTTTATTGGCATATATGAAAGCAAACACAGAAGTTAGATTGAGGTAGAATCAGAAGATACATGGGAAAATTTACTCAATAGTTCAACAATCTTTTATCAGAACACTTAAGATGACTTTGGAGAAAAGAAAAATAGCCAGGACCAGAAGAAATAAAATAAAGCAAGATTTGGCTGGGGAGGGTCAGGTGTGGGCAGAAGCTGGAAGTCAGATTGGATAGGGGTTGGAACACAGGAAGCCATCTTTAGAGGGGTTGTGTGGCAGGATAATGTGATGGTAAGCATGTGGGTTTTTCAGTCAGTGAGGTCTGAGTTTGTATCCTAACTCTGCTTACAGCTTAATGACCTTTGATAGGTCTCATAACCTTTCGGTGCTTCAGTTTTCTCTTAAATGGGGATGGCATTAATGACCTTATTAAGTAGTTATGGGGGTGAAATGAGATAATTCATATAAAGCACTTACAGTAGTGCTTGGTCATAATGTTCACGTTATGGTGGGTGATATTATTGTATGTTGTTATATATAATAAATAATATGTGGTATGATATATTATTATTTCACTGTGTTATTGTTGTCACATTGTTATTTTAGAATCAGGGAGTCTATAAAGAGTGTCCATGCAAGCAGTATAACAGGAACTATTGAATAAGACCCAGGCAAGCAGAGCAAAACAGGAGCTCACTCTCATCTAACAAAACTCAGAGAAATCATGTAGCAGAAATGGATGGGAGATCCAGAGATTTTTGATTCTGAGACAGCCTTCTTTCCTTGTTCATTGCTTTTTGCAAATCTACGGAGGTAGGAGAAAAATCACCATGGCTTCCTCTGACCCTGCAGGTGGATGAAACTTAGAATATTTGATTAGGTTGAAAAATGAATGGGCATGAAGATGCCAGCTGTTTTAGCAGATAGAACTTAAGAGTTTTTAACAGTCATTAGAGATTGAACACTGATTGTCTTGAGCGGATACATGCAACAGTTGTTAACAGAGGGGTGAAGAAGCCTCTTAAGATAGATAATGCAGGGAGTTCTGTCTGAGGATGAAGGGCATAAGCGGTGGGCTGTTGAACTCTGCTAGTGTGGGCAGTGTGTGGGGTCATAGATGTGCAAGAAGTTTGGCTGGAACTTTGGGTGTTTATCTAGGTACCAGAACATCTGGAAACTCAGTGAACAGTGCATGGTGTTGATATTTTAAGTGTTTTACTGAGGGCAGGATGTCCATCAGGAAGTATTCCTTGGGATTGCTAACCAGAAGGAAACACAGGTTCCTCTTACTCCTCATATCCCAGCCCATATTCTTTTCTACCCTGGGTAGTTAGCTGCCTGTCTAGACTTTTTGTGATCATAATAGTATAATACAGTAATATAAATAATTTTAATTAAACAGTTTATGAGCCTTTTAACATTACAAAGTGCTCTTGCATATGGTGTTTTATGGCCTTTTGTATTTTGTGCTTAAGATTGTAAGTGGTGGTGTTGGCCTTAACCCAATGAAGTCTGAAATCACTTTGGGAACTTTGGCTAGGCTTCCAGAGTCTGGGGTAGTAAGTGCCAGGATAAATTGGGGTCTGAGATTTTAGGTGGTTCTGATCTTGGGCTTTTCATGCCCTCCAATGACTTCACTTTAGGGTGACTTCATTTGGTATGGAGGTTGATGTAGGGGAAGAAGTGAAGGGAGGTAGCCAGTCTAATGTGTAAAGAAAAGTGGGTAGAAAATTCATCTAGTCTATTCCTGGCTCCACTTTACATTGTTCAAAGGAAAAAAAAAATCACTTCCACTGTTGTCTTTTGTCCCCTCTATTGTGTACAATTTTTAGATAGTATTTTTGGATTAGTTTTTGTTTTATTAGGATGACAAATTTACAAAATGCTTTGAGTTTGGAAGACAGGTGAGGGTTTTTTTTAGTACAGGTTAATATGCATATACATTTGTTTTAGGGCTCCAAATTAATTATTCTTATACCATCACTCATATGTTAAAAGTCTCCTTATGCTTGCATAGAAATGTAGAACAGCCTCTTTTCAGCTGCCATGTTACTTGAATAGTTTTATTTTTTGGTGCCGTGTTGCTTGAGAATTAATTTTGTAATCTTCCATCTCAGGGCCACATTTCCTCAGTAATTTGGTTATCTTTCTAATGGCATGTTATGAAAGTTAAGTTTATCCCACTGACCTTGCTTCTCTTGACTTTTTGAAAAATACATCTTTTTTTTTTTTGTTTTCCGAGAAGATTTTTTATCTCAACCTTTGCTCTTGCCAATTTATTGATAACAAACCTTGAATCAAGTGGAAGTTTTGGAGAGCATTTTGATGTTCCGCTTTTAAGTAGGTGTAATGCCCTCAGAATGATTTTTTTTCATCTGTGGACTCCTGAATTTTTCATTTAAAAAACATTATTTTAAAATTTTTGTGATTCAGTAATTAACATGTTGGGTCAATTTTGGGCTTGGCACATTATGTTTTATAATGTGGTAAAATATACATAACATAAATTTACAATTTTCATTATTTTTAAGTGTACACATCTTTGGCATTAAGTACATCACAAATGTGGCATTTGGAGACGTATATCTCCAAAACTTTTTTCATCTTGCAAGCTGAAACTCTCTACCATTAAACAACAACTTCCATTTCTCTTTTCCCCCAGCTACTGGCAGCCACCATTCTGGTATCTGTCTCTGAATGTGACTACTTTAGGTACCTCACTTGATGTAAGTGAGTCATGCAGTATTTACCCTTTTGTGACTGGCTTTCTTCACTTAGCATAATATCTTCAAGGTTCATCCGTGTTGTAGTGTCAGAATTTACTTTTAAAGGCTAGATAGTATTTCAATGTATGTATATATCGCACTTTGTTTATCCATTCATCTATTGATAGACACTTGGGTTGCTTCTATCTTTGGCTACTGTGAATAATGCTATTAATATGGGTGTACAAATACCTGTTTAAAGTCCCTGTTTTCAGTTTTTTGCGTATATACCCAGAAGTAGAATTGCTAGATCATATGATAATTCTGTTTAATTTTTTGAGGAACCGCTATACTGTTTTCTTTCTGTTTTTAAAAATAATTTCAACTTTTATTTTAGATTCAGTGGATACATATGCAAGTTTGTTACAAGGGTATATTGTGTGATGCTGAGGTTTGGGGTAGAATTGAACCTGTCACATGGGTAGTGAGTATAGTACTCAATAGGTAGGTTCTCTTTTTTTAAAAACAATTTTTTTTTTTGAGCTATGGTCTCACGGGTCTCACTCTGTCATCCAGTTTGGAGTGCAGTGATATGACCACAGCTCACTGCAGCCTCAACCTCCTGGGCTCAAGCAATCCTCTCACATCAAGTCTCCTGAGTAGCTGGGACTAAAGCACATACTACCACACCTGGCTAATTTTTTGTATTTTTTTTCGAAATGGGGTTGCGCCATGTTGCCCAGGCTGGTCTCG
The DNA here is from genome assembly GCF_000001405.40 of Homo sapiens. Taxonomy (NCBI): domain Eukaryota; kingdom Metazoa; phylum Chordata; class Mammalia; order Primates; family Hominidae; genus Homo; species Homo sapiens. Next base: position 27,908,494 of record NC_000002.12, read on the forward strand.
AACTCTTGGACTCAAGCCATCCACCCACCTTGGCCTCTCAAAGTGCTGGATTACAGGCGTGAGCCTCTGTGCTCGGCCCCAGTAGGTAGTTTTTCAACCCTTGGCTCCCTCCTTTCCTCCCCTCTCTTGGAGTCCCTAGTGTCTATTGTTCCCATGTTTAGGTCCATGTCTACCCAGTGTTTAGCTTCCACTTATAAGTGAGAACATGCAGTATTTGATTTTTTGTTTCTGTGTTAATTCACTTAGGATAATGGCCTGCAGCTGCATCTATGTTGCTGCAAAGGATGTGATTTCCTTCTTTTTTTATGGCTGTGTGCTATACTGTTGTCCACAGAGGCTGCACTGTTTTATATTCCCACCAGCAAGACACAAGGGTTTTAATTTCTCCACATCCTCCTCAACACCAACACTTATTACTTTCTGTTTTTCTTTGTTTTTGTTTTTGTTTTCATAGTAGTAATCCTAATGGGTGTGTAGTGGTATCTCACAGTGGTTTTGGTTTGTATTTCCCTAATGTTTACTGATGTTCAGCATCTTTTCTTTATTATTATTGTTATTATTTTTTTTGAGACAGAGTCTCACTCTGTCACCCAGGCTGGAGTGCAGTGGGGCAATCACAGCTCACTGTGCAGCCTCCACCTCCTGGGCTCAAGCAATCCTCCCACCTCAGCCTCTTGAGTAGCTGGGACCACAGGCATGTGCCACCATACCTGGGTGATTTGTTTATTTTTTGTAGAGATAGGGTCTTGCTATGTCACCCAGATTGATCTCGAACTCCTGGGCTCAAGCAGTCCTCCCACTTTGGCCTCTTAAAGTGCTGGGATTACAGGCTTGAGCATCTTTTCATGTACTTCTTGGCCATTTATATATCTTCTTTGGAGAAATGTCTGTTCAAGTCTTTTGCCCATTAAAAAAGTTTTTTTTTGGTATTCATTGTATGATTTCTTTTTGGGTTCTGAATATCAGTTCCGTCTCAGATAGATGTATGATTTGCAAGTATCCCATCCCATTCCATAGGTTGCCTTTTTACTCTGTTGATAATGTCTTTTAATGCGCAAAAGTTTCACTTGACAAAATTTGAGGTACTTCTTGTATGTTCTCCAGTTGGTTAAATTTCTCTAGCCTGCCCCTCTGTTAGCATCATCTTTCTGTGCTTTCTTCCCTAGAAAGGTCAGAAAAGGCTCTGGTGAAATTGAGCCAGACCTTTGTATCACTAGTATCTCCTTCTGTGGCAAAGGACACCCATTTACCAATGCACCTGCTTCTCCCATAGTAGAAGCCTTTTGACTGAGAATTAGAGACTTATAAAATATCACTCATTGTTATGATTATGGTAGTAGTGTATAGGACATGCTATGACATTGGTTAACATAAGCAGCTCTATATTGGCAGGAAGGACAGTAATATAACAATAGCTGTTATCATTAATAATTTTTCATTGTAATGTAAGTGCTTTGAAACGTTTTGTTGCATATAATCCTTCTAATAATCCCTTAAGGCAGATGAGGTAACTGAAACTCAAGTAAGTTGCGTGACTTGTTCAGGGTTGCATAGCTAAGCCATTCCATCTATAACAGTTCTCCCTTGTTCTTTTCTGTATCAGAATCTGTCCTATTGCCAATTTCAAGCTTTTATTTATTGTTTGTTTGTTAGGCCTGTCTCCCTTAGTAGAGGAGACAAGGCCATTATCTGGCATAACAGCTGTGTCTCCACCACCTAGCATAGGACCTGGCACAATAAGTATAAAACTGTGGATCTGACAGTAATGTCATGGTTCCAGGTTCAGGGGTGTATCACAGTTGTCTCCTAGGTTGAAAAAAGTCATTAGAAAGCATCAGAGAAACAAAAAAGGTTAGTTGTTGCTACTTCCCTCCCCTAAACATTAAAGGTTTAAACTAATTGATTTTTAAATTTAAAAACTTTTTATTGAGGTATAGTATACATTCAGAAAAGTACACTGAATCATAAGTAAGTATATAATGCATTGAATTTTCACAAGCTGAACAGACTTGTGTAACTAGCACCCAAAACCCAGAACATTATCAGCACCTTGTACGTCCTCTTTGTGCTCCCATCTAGTCACTGACCCCTCTTCCCATGAAAGGATAACTGCTATCCTGACTTCTAACAAAATAGGTTAATATACTTTTAAAAATATATATATAAATGGAATTTATACTGCACAAAATGGCATTTTGTGTGAGGCTTCGTTTGTTCAGCGTTATGTTTGTGATATTCTATATTGTTGCAGATAGTTGTAGATCACCCATTTTTCTGGCTGAGCAATGAGAGTTCCATTGTGTAACATGCCACGGTTTATCTACTGTACTTTTGAAGGGCATTTGGGTAGTTCCTAATTGATATGGTTTGGGTGTGTTTCCACCCAAATCTCTTCTTGAATTGTAGTTTCCATAATCCCCACCTGTCATGGGAGGGACCCGGTGGAAGGTAATTGAATCCTGGGGGTGGTTACCCCCGTGCTGCTGTTCTTGTGATAGTGAGTTCTCACACAATCTGATGATTTTATAAGGGGCTTTTCCCCCTTTTGCTCGGTACTTCTCCTTGCTGCCACCACGTGAAGAAGGATGTGTTTGTTTCCCCTTCTGCTGTGATTGTAAGTTCCTTGAGGCCTCCCCAGCCATGCTGAACTGTGAGTCAATTAAACCTCTTTCTTTTATAAACTACCCAGTCTTGGACATGTCTTTATTAGTAGTGTGGGAACAGACTAATACACTAGTATTATGAATAGTGCCATTTTGAATAGTGCCATTGTGAACATTCTATTACATGTCTTTTTGCAAATGTATAATATGTATACATGTTTGAACCCTCTGGATTTTAAGTTAAGAACTATTCATAAATAGAATAAATATTTTAAAATTCTTTCAGTTCCATATTGTATGTAAGCAAAGGAGAAGGTTAGGGAGGGAAGAAAGAAAGGGGTGGATTTGAAGGGAAAGAAGGAAGACAGAGAAAGGACAATAAGGTAGGAAGAGGAAATCAGGGGAGAAGAAAAGATTATAGAAAAGGAAGGGTAGAGAAAAATGGAGGCAAGCGTGCAGCTGTGGGCTCCTAAATAAAATGAGATACTGAAACTAAATCCTTATCACAATCTTGAGCATGGACTTCAAGGTATCATTACTTCTTGAAATGCAAATCTCTCTTCAAGCCTCATCAGTTCCTCTCAGAAGCTGTCTGACCTGTAGTTCATCCATTTCTCTCTCTCAGTACTGTCAGCACTCCATCTCTTTTCCTAACCAGTCCTAACTAGACTCTTCATAACTGTTCTAGATCTGATCTGTTTTCCACTAGCAGCCATTTATATGATTTGAAACAAATCTAATAATAAAAAATAAAAACCAGATCATGTTGAGATAGAATAGGAATAGGACGTGCCTCCTCCAAGTATTTTTCCTTTTCTTCTTCTTTTCACAAAACCTACACCACTACTTTGCCTACACTATACCCACTAACCCCCAAGCTTTTAGCCACTCAAAGAAAAGAGCCATTCTTCTGTGCTGTCACATTGTTTAACCATGCCTAATTCCAGAAACTGGCCTTAGGAGATACAAACATTGAACCAAGGTTGTGGAGTCTCAGTCTCCCACCTTGGGAAAGAATGCTGAACAATTACTAGGGTATGGAAAGGGAATACAATTTCATTGTTGGAACTGGGGCAGAAATTAAACACATATAGTTATTTTAAGTCTGTCACTGATTTGCTTTTTGACCTACATTCGCAGACTCCTTATTCTTTTTTTTTTTCCATTATTAAAGTTATTGAGGATTTGGAAGCTTGAATGACTTTGCAAATCTTAACTAAAACTAGTGATATAATTCTTGGCATTGTGGCATAATTTCTTACAGCACAGCACAATGTATTTAATTTTTAAAGAATAGTATTTATCATGTTTTTGCATCATAAAAGTATCTTTTGGAATTGTCATTGGCAGGTTTTTATAAATATGTTTATTATATCTATCTTTGTATGTATTTACTTAAGAAATTAAAAGAGTATGTAAGTCAGAAAAGGATTCTGAGAACCAATATAGTTCAAATGGAAGATTGGAATTATAGGTAGATTGGCAGGAATTCAGGACGCGAGAGACCATTACTTTAGATGATCTCTTTAGAAGGCCTGGGATTTAAAACTGAGCCATACTACCTTTAGAAGTTCCAAAGGATAGACTGCCACAGATTATGCCAGCAGTCATGTTGCAAGATTGGATGACCCCTTCAAACTGGCTTGTCAAATTTATTAATATCTTCTTGCAAGGAATGAATCCAAGAATATGTTGGAGCTACATCTGGATGGAAATGAAATAGTGTTACAGGTTCTGAGCAGTCAGACAGATAACCTGATGATAAATTTTGGGCAGTGAACTATATTGATGTTGCTGTCAACTTAGTAGAGATATCAAAAGAACACTTGGAAAGAAATAAATTAATGTTTGTTACTGTTGTGGGAAAACCAAGATGAATAGGGAGATTAGAAGACATCAAAGTAAAGCAGCTTATCTTCATATCCAAGGACCTTCAGCATCTAAAGATTCTTCAGAAAAGTGTTTTTCAAACTCTTTGATGGAAGAACAGATTAAAAAAAATGTAGCTGGTCACCAGCTGATACTTTTGTAAAATATAAAAATGAATTGCTAGAAGAGTGAAATGAAAAAGACATGAAATACAAGGCTTGACTCTTTTATTAGTAGATTCATCAGATTTATTCTTACACATTGCTGTAAAAGTTTTAAAATTCTTATCTCATTTTCTGTACTTTTCTTATTATGGATTAGTAATAATTTACAGACCAGAACTGGTCCATGGACCTGCTCTCTTTGAATAGCACGATTCTAGAAAGATTTCTGCATTCTAACAGTCCAGGAGTTGGCCTTCTTAAGAATTCTATCTCAGAGGGGCAACAGTAGTATGTTATTGATAAGTAATTCCTAACTACATGTTAGATAATTGGAGATACTGTTTTTTAAAACAAATATGGTAGATGGTTATACAAATAAAAACTATTCTGAAGATAACTCAAATTTTCAGTTAGTTGGATCAGTAAAAAATCAGAGGACATTGTTACTTTGTCCATGCTTTACATATATATACACACACCAAAGAATGGCTTTTGGGTAAGGAGAGAATTTACACGTATATTTTATACGTATAAAATGCACATAAAATCTACACACACCAAAGAATGGCTTTTGGGCAAGGAGAGAATGTTTATAATACAATCTTCTTTTGTAAACACTCTTATTTCTGTACATTTTAAAGATCACCTTTTTTTGATGTTTGCTTCTTAAAGCTGTAATGTAGTTATATTTTCTAAGTTGAACGTCTTAAACACTATGCCAGTGATTTGGGTAACACTTCAGTTTTTCTCTAATTGTAACTGATGAAGATTTTTAATGACTATGATAGGCACATTGCCAATTTTTGTTACATTCTCTTGTTACAAGAAAATATCATTTACCATTTCAACTTTGTTTCATGTGGTTCATGGTAGAATTCATTTCTTATTAAAAACTTAATAAAGAACTAGTGTTAGCTTTAGTAGTCATATTAAAGTATAACATTGTTTTAATCTACACCAGAATTATAGAATTTCAGGAATGGAAAGCATTACACTCTAATGTTAACCATATGATCTATGAACCCCTTCTAATGCTTCTCTGCCAAGTGACTGTTCAGGCTGTCTGTAAGTATCTCTAGTCATGTGGAAGCTCCATGAGTCCCAACACAGCTCCCTGGGCAGCTAATACTGTTACATAGTGCTTTTCTACATTGACCTGAAACCCTTTGCCTTGCCACTTCTAGCTCTTGTCACAATATAGAACAAGCTTAATTGATCCTGCATGTTAGTGAAGATAGCTATCATGTTTGATAGTTCTTTCTTCTGTAGGCTAACATGTAGCCTTTGCTGCTATCATGGATTTGTGTCCTTCCCTGTCTTTTTTGGCTTCTTCTGAATGTGATCCAGTTAGTCTCTATACTTCTTAAAGTGTAACACCTAGAACTGAATGAAGTGTTCAAGGAATAGTTTTGACCAAGTGTAGGGTTGAGTATTTTTATCTTCATTTTCCAGGAAGCTACCTTCTGTGAGATTGTACTGGACAGAGCTGTGGGTTACAAACCACTGATAGCTGTGACCTTTAGGTGTGTTATGAAATCATTTTAGAGGGCCTTGATTTACATAAAAAACAGAAGAGAATGGAACAAAAGTACACGTCATGTAATAAAGCTAAGTATCATTGCTTAACAATTTTGTTTTCAATTTATATATGAACACGTACACAGATATATGTACACATATGCATATATAATATTACTCTGTACAGATATCTCTACTGATGGTGATATAAAATGGTGATATAAAAATTTCTTATTATGTGTCAAAAAAGTTTGAAAGCCTCTGGCCTAGACTAGATGCTTCCTGTCCTTGTTTCTCTGATGGCTCTGTCTAGTCTCTGCTTGCTCTGCAGCCAATTTACATGCCCCATCTTGATATTCTTCTCTTTGTTTCCCTGTAAATTTCTGCTGTGTAACATGAGAGGCATGATGGGCTCCATTAGATTTGCTTTAGGACACTGGAAAATTATTTTACTGCTCTGATTAAGTCTTTTCATGGTTGGACCCCCATGAGAATTTTTGTCTGTGGAATGAAGAAATGAAGTAGCCCGGTGAAGAGGTGAGGAGGTCAATTGAGGTTTTTAGCTCAGAAAATTATTGCCCCAGTGAAGTAAAGGGTTTAAGGAAAATAGTGTTTGAGATAGACTCTCCTCCTCCTTATTTTTTGGTTTTGCAATTTGTACTTTTGAATACTCGTGACAGCAAGTGCTCTCTGTGTGCCAGGAACTGTTCTAAATACTTTATTTATGTGCACCAAGTCAGTGGATCCTCATAACAGCTCTCTGGAGCATGACTGTTATCCTTATTTTACAAATGAGAACACTGAAGACGAGAGAGATTATTTAACTTGCACAAGGCTTTAGAATTTATAGTGTATAACAGTAGCATCTCAAGCGCAATCTAAGAACGAAATCCTTTCAAACTACCTAACAACCAAAAATACGTGGATGGCACACTTATCCCATTACCCTGTAGTTCCAGATATGCTCATATAGCAGATGCTAAGTCTTTTCATAATCATTTAAATATAAGAATTTGAAGATATAAAAAACGTTTTTTTTCTATCTTTAGAAAGCACTTTTCAGTAACAGGAAAGGGAATCCTTTAATGACACTTCAGAATCTATTAATTCTTCCTTTTCCTTTCTTCCCCACTCTTCTTTATCTAATTCTCTATTTTTGGCTCTACCCTGTCATCAGTTTCCTACTACAATTCTCTCTCTCTACTTTTTCATTTTCTTTTTGTTTCTTCTCCCCATCTCCCTATCTCCCCATCTCCACTGGTTTTCCATCTATTCTTTCCTTTACTCTGCTTTTGTGCTTTCCATATTCATTCAAATTTATTTTTTTAGATAGGTTAAGCATGTACTGAGCACCAAGTAAGTGTGAGGCATTGTTGAGATACAAACATAAATAAAGCATGTAGCATGAGAGCTAATCAGGGTGAGATCAAAGCTCTGCTAGTACATTCCCTTGAGAATCAGAGCTATTGGAGCATGCCAAGGTAAATACTCCTTAGGCCTTCCCTATATGGATCAGGAATGTCTATGGGATTTAGATAAATAGTATGCAAATAATATAAAATATGAGCCCCAGAGTTCAGAGAATAGGCAGCATTTAGGACATGTTTTGGATCAAGGCATAAAAACAGTGGCCTAAAAAGTTTACAGGAATATTTTCATTGGAAAATTAGTAGTGTTTAGTATAAAAATTACTTCTTATAAAATAACACTGTACATTGAATGTATGAAAATGGTATTTAAGTTGGCCTTGGCCCTGGGGATCTCTTATATAACATTTACTAATATGAGTAATAATTACCAGCATTCCCACAGTTGAAATAGCAAACAGTCCAGGACATTTCTGTAACTTGTTTGACCTTGTCCACTCCAGCTCTACCTTGCTCACTTGCAGTATTTATGAAATAGCTTTCAGGTACTTCCTGTGTGCCAGCAGGTATGCTGCTGGACACTGAGGGATCCAGGGTTTAATGCATTCTCTTTCTTCTTAGAGTTTTCAGTCTAGCAGTGCCTGTCTCTTAGGTTTTGCCCTTACTTAAAGACAATTGCCCATAACTATTTCTCCTTCCCCTCACTTGGCCAGATCCTATGCATTCTTAGAGGCCAGTTGTATTCCAGTGAACCTTCCTTGGTTACCCAAGCTAAAAGTGGTTTCTCTGCTCTCTTCGCTCCTATTGTGTTTATTTTCTTTAACCACTAATTTGGCAATTAATCATGTTAATTGCTTTGTGACTTGTATCTATTGTTGTCTTGACTTGTTATTTAAATTGTGTTGTGTGACTTTCATAGTTTGATTTTTGTCTTCTGATTACAAGTTCTTGAGAATAGAGAATCCTTTGTGTAACTCTTATAGCAATAATCACTCCAAACTTTTTTTTTTTTTTTTTTTTTTGTGACAGAGGCTTGCTCTGTTGCCAGGCTGGAGTGCAGTGGCACGATCTCGGCTCACTGCAACTTCCGCCTCCTGGGTTCAAGCGATTTTCCTGCCTCAGCCTCCCAAGTGGCTGGGGCTACAGGCACGTGCCACCACGCGCAGCTAATTTTTGTATTTTTAGTAGAGATGGGGTTTCACCACGTTGGCCAGGATGGTCTTGATCTCTTGACCTCATGATTTGCCCGCCTCATCCTCCCAAAATGGTGGAATTATAGGCGTGAGCCACCACGCCCGGCCCAAAGTGTTTTTTTAAATTATGCACCCTGTCTTAGTCAGTTTGGGTTGCCATAACAAAATACCTTAGACTTGGTAATTTATAAACAGCAGAAGTTTATTGCTCACAGTTCTGATGGCTAGAAAGTCCAGGATCATGGCTCTGGTAGATTGTGTCTGGTGAGGGCCCGTTCCTCATAGATGATGCCTTCTCTGTGTCCTTGCATGGCAGAAGGGAAAAGGGGCAGACGAGCTCCCTCAGGCCTCTTTTATAAGGACGCTAATCCTATTTATGAGGCCTCCGTTTTATGACCTAGTCAGCTCTCAAAGGCCCTACCTCTTAATACCAACACATTGGGGATTAGATTCCAATAAGAATTTTGAGGGGCCACTAACATTCAGTCTATAGCACACCCCAAATTATTTTATTGTGTACCTCTGCTACATGCATATTTACTTATAAAAATATATTTATAGATTATAAAACATACATAAAATATAAGCTAAAAATGATATAAAGATAAAATTAACAACACTGTAAAAATAATTTATATTACTTATATTGTGGTATTTTCACCTGCCATACCTGAAAAAGAAATCTGAAAAAATATGTAGATACTAATGGAAGAAATGCTTTTGTCGTAAATTAAGTGTCCAGAAATGTGAGGGTCTGTCTCTGAACTCTTTATTCTGTTTTACTGGTTTGTCTATTTTTGTACCAACATGAGTATTTTAATTACTAACATTTATAGTAAATTTTGAAATCCAGTATTGCAAATTTCCTACCAAAGTTTTTCTTACTGTGGTAAAATACATGTAACATAAATTTACTATTTTAATCATTTTTAAGCATACAGTTCTGTGGCATTAAGTATATTTACATTGTAGTACAGTCATTACAACTATCCATCGGAAACTCTGTACCCATTAAACTATAGCTTCCTATTTCCCTCTCTCCTCAGCCCCTTACAACTACTGTTCTACTTTCTCTGACTGTGAATTTGACTACTTTAGATACCTCATGTAAGTGGAATCATATAGTCTTTGTCCTTTTTTGACCAGCTTATTTCACTTAGCATAAGGTCCTCAAGATGTATCCATGTTGTAGCATGTGTCAAAATTTCCTTCCTTTTTAAGGCTGGATAATATGCCATTCCATTGTGTGTGTGTGTGTGTATATGTATAGTATTGTATATATATATAATGTATAGTACTACATTTTGTTTATCCATTCATCCATGGATGGACACTTGGATTGCTTCTACCTTTTGTTTATTGTAAATAATCCTATCAAGTTTTTGTTCTTCAAGATCATCTGATCTATTCTAGGTTCTTGGCATTCCATTTGTATTTTAGAATCTGCCTTTCAGATTGCAGATCAATTTAGGGAGAACTTACAACTTTTCATTATGAGTCTTTTTTTTTCTCACTCCGTGGCTCAGGCTGGAGAGCAGTGATGTGATGATGGCTCACTGCAGTCTTGACCTCCCTGGCTCAGGCGATCCTCCCACCTCAGACTCCCAAGTAGCTGGTACTACAGGCACATGCCACCATGCCCACTAACTTTTTGGTATTTTTTGTAGAGACAGGGTTTCTCCATGTTGCCCAGGCTGGTCTTAAACTTTTGAGCTCAAGTGATCCACCTGACTTGGCCTTCTAACGTGCTAAGATTACAGGCATGAGCCACTGTGCCCGGCCTCATTATGAGTCTTTTAATCCATGAACATGATATCTCTGTTCATTTATTTGTTTACTTATTTTCTTCTTAATAATAGCTTTCTGCATAGAGATCTTGCACATCTATTGTAACATTTATTTCTATATATTTGATCATTTGATATTATTTTAGATGGCATCTTTCTAAAAGTTTTATTTTCTGACAGTTGATGGTATATGGAAATACAATAGACTTCTATGTATGCTCTAACAACTTTGCTAAACCCACATATTCATTCCAATAGTGCATATGAACATTTACAAAATTTTCTATGTTCACAGTCACATTTTCTGCAAAAAAGTAAGTTCTGTTTCTTCTTTTCCAATTTTTATACTCCTTATTTCCTCCATCCTGGCTAAGACCTCCAGTACAATGTTGAATTAAAGTGATGAGAGTTGGTATTCTTGTCTCATCCTCTATCTCAAAGAAAAAAATTTTAATGTTTTGTTTTTAAGTATGATGTTGCTTTAAGTTTTTTGTAGATAGCTTTGATCACATTAAGGAAGTTCCCTTTTATCCCAGTTTATAGAGAGCTTTTAAAATTATGAATGGATGTTTAATTTCATCAAACACTTGTACTTATTAAGATAATCCTATCAATTTCCTCTTATTCTCTTAGCAGAGTTAATTAAATGCACATATTAGAAAAGAAGAAAGGTTGAAAATTAATAAGCTAAGCATCTATCTGAAAAAGTTAAAGGATTTTTTCCCGATCCTAGTTAGCTGTTAAAAACTGTATGTGAGCCCATCATTCCTACTGAAACCATATTGTAATTTAAACCACATTTTTGTTATAGGGACACCTACCAACATTTAAAAATACTTCCTACTCTAAAGTAGAGTTGAAGTTTATCATTTATAAATGGAGATATGGCATAGAAGCTGAGAATAACAGTTGACGCCACATGAACTGGCAAACACATTTTCTTGAATATTTTAATTTTGTAATTTTTAAAACATTCTGGGCTGAGTCACTTATTTTGGTGATGGCATTTTGGAATCCTATGCTAAGAATTAAATGTATCATTTTTTCTAGGAGGGTCTAGCCATAGTTTTTAGGCTTTAGAGATAGAATGTACTTGATGTATCAAGAATATCATATGTCATCAAATGCATAGCCCCATTCCCCTGAAAATCAACCGAGAAAATCTATCTGAATGCAATTTTGTCTTCTTTTACCGATTTTAATTTGTCCTTTTTGCTTGTAAAAAGGTCTAAGACTTGACCTTGTGGATTTGGTCTGGCCAGTCAGATGGGGTATAATTATAGCCCTTTCAAGGCTGAATATGTAAGATTCCATGAACCAGTTCAGATGCCTTTGCAGATAAAATGCTCATGTTTTAGATTATTTAGATAGATGTTAAGATACCCTTTGTCAGTCTTCCAGCTTCTTTACTGCTGCATCCAGTCTAGAAACCATGATAATTTTTGAAACTGAGTAATCTATGTTAGATTTAATTCAGAGAAAATAAATTCTAAAAGATGAAAATGTAGTTAATATTAGTTAACAGTAATTTACTGTAATATGTGACTTTTTTTTAAAAGGTGGTTATTGATCTTTGAGCATATTTTATTTGAGAGTCACTTGTTATTTTAGGTTGCCAAAGTTGAAGACTTCCTTCTCAGCTGATGTTAAATATTGTTGGTTTAGCACAAACGTCACTATCAAGAAAACAGGAAGCTATGTAGGACACATGCCAAATGGTAAATTAATAGTCAGGGTAAAGGAAACTGACGTAGACTCAGGGAAGGAACCCTGGACTCATCTACTTTGTTCTTTTTAGGTGGCTTGAAGAATAGAAATGGTCTAAGTCATTATTTTTTTCCAGACAGTGTATCAAAAAACAGGGTTAGCCCTATTAAGCCAGAAAGAATATATTTTCTTATATTTTGCATTATTTTAAAACTGCTAATGTTTTAAAGGTTGTAGAATATCTTCATATAGCTTTGTTAATCTAGATTAGTTCTTGGCTGTCACTAAAAAGCCTATAAAGTATAGTAAAATTTGCCTACTTTTATTTTTTTATAGTGAAACCTTAACATTTGAGTCGGATCTCAGTAACTAGGAACAAATGATAATTTAAAGAGGAGTCAAATCCAAATTTACCTTTCATTATTTACTTAAACTTTATATATATAGTTTGCTAAATCAGTGAACAGTGTCATCATTGTAGAGTCTGTGTCAAGTTACGGGGGGCTTGTTCCCTCTCTTGTAGCCTTGATTTATGTGTTTACAGTTTTTATACTTATTACTGATAAATAATTTTCTTTTCATTAGAACGCATGTAATAGAACTTCTTTTTGGCAATATTTTGTCATCTTTTACTTCTCATTTTTCTAGGTACTTAATAAAATATCATTTGTTGAAAACATTTATAGTTCACCAATTATGAGATTTATAGTTATAAATCTTTATAAGCCACTAATTATGATTTATAATTCACTAATCATAAGATATTAATCTGATGGTTTTCTCTTAAATTATTGAGAGATGGTTTAATGTAGTAATTAAGAAAGTGGGCCATGGAGGCAGACATCCTGGGTTTGGATCCCAGCTCTGTCACTCACTAGCAAGTTACATAAGCATCTACGTGCCTCAGTGCCCTCATCTGTAAATTGGGGTAATAACAGCACCTATCTTGGAAGGTTGCTGTAAGTTTAAATAGTTTAATATAATTAAAGAGCTTAGAATAGTGCCTGCCACATTAGTAAATGCCCGACAAATATTAGCTGCTGTTATTTGTTTATTGTGGAAATATAATAATTATAGGTAATAACTTAAAGTTTAAATTCTGAGTTGTGTGTACAGTTCTTCAAAGGGAAAACCTTCCACAAATAATCACACTTTTGCCTTTCTTGGAGGTGAGGATGAGCACATCATCCCAATTCCAGTTAAATCAACAGTCTTTTTTTCTTGTTGTTGTTTTTAATCATGAAAAGAGTACAACACTAGGAGTCAAGATATATGCATTCATTCAGCAAACCTTTATCCTCCTACATAGTTGTTGGAGTGTTCACCTCCTGGATATCAGTGCTAGACACTGGAGATTTAAAGATGCCTAGGCCATGGAGACTAAGATATGGTTAGCGTGTCCTGTAAGTGGTTTCCAATCCCAGAGTGCCAGTGAGACCCTTTGCTCTTTGATGTCATCATCTGTAAAATGACAGTTCTTGAACTTAGTTTATGAGTGTTAGTAATATGCTAAAATTTCATCAGTGCTGGATACTTAGCACTGTGCTAGGTGCTATACTAGGACTTACTTAAAAAGGAGTATAACATAGCGCTTGACACTAGAATCTTATGATCTGGTTGGGAAAACAAGCCACAAGGAGAAAAATAGACAAATAATACTGGGAGTCATGTGATTAAATGTAAAATAAGAGACTCAACAGATGAGAATGTGCGAAGGTTCTTACGCTCAGCATTTTATTGCGTCAATGATTAACTGCCATTTCTGTAATAAAGTACTAGATTAAACTACCTCCTTTGATGCTATCAAGAATTCCCGCTTGATAATTCCCACTTTCATAATCTGTATAATGTGAGTTTAACTCCCTTTGTTCACTCACATGTTAAACTTTAAAATAGTGCATTCCTGGTATATTTAGGTAATTTGAAATTGGTAAAAGATATATTTTTACAGCATAGTTTTTATCCAAAATCCTTTCTGTACTCTAACACCAAGATATGTTTTTTGTTCTTGTTACTGCTATATTCCTAGCACTTAGTGCCAGACACACAGTGAACACTGATGAAATATAGTTGAGAGACAAATTTGAAATTATACTTAACCGTCAGCAATTTTAAAATATTTAAAAATAATTTTTAAATTAAAAGTGATTCAATTTGGAATACTGGCTTTTTCAACCTTGGCTCTAACTATGTGTGAGGACAAGTTGCCATTCTATAAATATAATTTTAATGTAGCCAGTAGCTTTTTCTTTACTAGCTTTTTCATACTTGTATAAGGAAATGGCTTTCTAGATGAGTGAATTTCCCTGCTTTATTAGTTATCTGTTACTGATTTATGACAGCAGCTTCATGGGAGACCTTAAGCTAGAACTGCCCAGCCAAGCCATTCCCAAATTCCGACCCAAAGAAACTGTGAAAGATAATAAATGTTAGAAATGTGAAGTTTTGTGATATCACAGTATAAAGACTTTCATATGCCTTACTTGAAGACTGTTCATCAGTATATCACCCTGAATTCTTTCCTTCTGAGAAGGAGTGAAGTACTTTAAAAGAAAAAGATAAAATCAGGCCATCATAGCCAAGTTTTCCTAGTCAAATAGAAAAGGGTTGTATTTAGCCTTAAAAGATTTTATAATTGTGTAAAACCGTGGCTCATGCCTATAATCCCAGACTTTGGGAGGCTGAGGCGGGAAGATTGCTTGAGGTCAGGAATTCGAGACCAGCCTGGGCAAAGCCCTGAGACCCTGTCTCAAAAAGAAAAAAAAAAATTTAGCTGAGTGTGGTGGTGCACCTGTAGTCCCAGCTACTTGGGAGACTGAGGTGGGAGGATTCCTTGAGCCCAGATGTTCAAGGCTGCAGTGAGTTATAATTGTGCCACTGCACTCCAGCCTGGGCTCTAGAGCAAGACACTGTCTCCTAAAAAAATTATAATAGTAAAATAGTTCATAGTTCATGTTCATTATAAAAATCAAAACAATGCAGAAAGCAGATGGGTGCAGTGGCTCATGCCTATAATCCCAGCTCTTTGGGAGGCTGAGGCAGGAGGATCACTTAATTCCAGGAGTTTGAGACCAGCCTGGGCAACATGGTGAAACCTTGCCTCTATTAAAAATACAAAAAATTAGCCAAGTGTGGTGGCATGTGCCTGTGGTCCCAGCTACCTGGGAGGCTGATGTGGGAGGATCGCCTGAGCTCGGGAGTTTGAAGCTTCAGTGAGCTGTGATTTCACCACTGTACTCCAGCTTGGGTGACAGCAAGACCGTGTTTCAAAAAATTTAAAAAAAAATGCAGAAAAGTAATTAGAAGAATCTTGTAAAAATCATTTCAAATCCGGCCACATTTTGGTTACTCTCCTTCTGAAATCTGTCTATGTGTGTAGATATACATACTTTCAAGTGTCCTTTTTCCATAAGTGGAATCATACTATTTCCATGTATTTTTAAAGCTTTTTAAACATTACCATGGGTTTAGAATTTACCAAAACTCCCCTTAGTGCTATATGACATTGGAAAGATCACTTACTTGAAGTGGGGATGGGAGTGGGTAATACTCCCCAAAAGCACAATCAAGTCAAAATGGTAATCTCCAGTTAGCTGCAGGCCTTCTGTTTTGCTGAGAGGAATATACAGATTTGGGGCCAAGAGTCAAACTCCTCAAGGCAACAGAGGAAAGCTCTTTTAAACCCATGCTCTTTTTTTTTTTAGGCAGAGTCTCGCTCTGTTGCCCAGGCTGGAGTGCAGAGGCATGATCTCAGCTCACTGCAACCTCTGTATCTTGGGCTCAAGCGATTCTCCTTCCTCAGCCTCCCTAGTAGCTGGGACTACAGGCATGCACACCACACCTGGCTAATTTTTGTATTTTTACTAAAGATGGGGTTTCACCATGTTGGCCCCGCTGGTCTTGAACTCCTGACCTCAGGTGATCTGCCTGCCTCAGCCTCCCAGAGTTGTTGGGATTACAGGCGTGAGCCACTGTGCCCTGCCCCTATGCTCTTTTTTGATTAACAGAAAAACGAGCACCCTCCTCTTGTGCAACTTGAATTTTCACAGTAAATTAAAGAACATGACCAAACCAATTTTAGACAGAGGTAACTTAAGAAGAGGAAACAGTTTAATCTTAGAAGAAACTTGAGGTACATGGCACTGGCTTGTTTCCTATACACCTATTTATCCTAGATAATATAAGGAAGATAGAATGTAACATATCTTAAATGATTTGCCCAACATTTCATTGGAAGACAAGCTGAGTGCCACTTAGGAGAAAGAGACCTACTAATGGCAGCTTTCCTCTGTTCCCTTGAGCACTTTGGCTCTTGGCCTCACATTTGTAGATTCCTCTCAGCAAAGCAGAATCCCTGCACCTAACTGGAGATTATAATTTTGACTTGAGTGTGCTTTTGGGAAGTATTACTCTTCATACCCCTGTCCCCCATTCCCACTTATGATATTGGAAAGTAAGTGATCTTTCCAATATCATAAAACACAAAGGTGAGGTTTTGTAAATTTTTCTTCTATCTTTTCTGTGATGTTTTAGTGGCCCTTATAGATTGGCTAGCCCACCCATTAGCCTGACTGTTTCCATAGAAGATTTGGTTATTATCTCACACTTTGAACTCTCCATTTCCTTTTCCCTAAACATGCTCCTTTCCTAGAAGTCTTATTCAATAAATCCATTTGTCTCATCTCCACTGCTGTTACCCTAGTCCAAGGATCCATCATCTTTCTTTCTTTTTTCAGATCTAAAGTGGTTATTATTATTATTATTATCCTACCTGCATTGGGTTTTCAGTCCCAGTGAAGACTGAGAAACCTGGTGAGACCAGTAAGCATCCCTGGGGGGTAAACACAAGACTCATCCACATTGCTCCCAGCTGCCCTGGCCTTCCTACAACCCTTAGAGGTTTGCAATCCCTGTTCCTTATAGCCAGCTATGTAGCGATGTCTTTCCTTAAATAGTAGAGACTTTGGGCAGCAGAGCTCCTCATCCCATTCCAGGTAGATAACCACACCCTGAAACACTCCTCTCCATGACTGAAGGTGAGAGGCTGAGGGGAATGGTCTCTGCCCTCTGTGACCCTGTTCGTTCCTTTCCAGCGCCATTCTTGCTCTCATGCGCCTGAGTGTGGGCCTTATCTGCCAGGTGGGCTACACTCTGCTCAACTCCCACATCACAGAACACTGTCTCCTCACTGAAGACTGTGAAGTGAATGTTTACTGAAGCAGCAGCATTATTACTGCACCAGAGCTAGAAAATGGACAGGCAAGGATCTCTGTAGATAGCAGAGAAGTAGGTGATACCATCTACAAATGCATGTTGGTTTTGCACCATCATCTTTGTTGACTAAAATGGTCTCCTCCCTGGTCTGGCTATGTTCATTTTATCTCTTGTGGTCTTTTTTTTTTTTTCTGTACAGTAGGCAAAGTGGTCTTTTAAAAACATAGATGTTTTTACTCTTCTGCTAAAAACCCTGCTTTGTGCTTGGCATAAAAGCTGAATGAATTGCAACCACTTGCAGGTCCAGTGTGATCTGTCCCTTCCTTTTGCCCCTCTCTCCCTCATTTACTGTGTCCTAATCTTTTGCCCTTCTCTCCCTCATTTACTGTGTCCTAATCTTTTGTTCTTCTCTCCCTCATTTACTGTGCTCCAGCCGCATTGCCCAGATATATCAAGATTTCTTCCCCAGATGTACCAAGCTTGTTCCTGCCTTCACACCTTTGCACCAGCTGTTTGCTCTGCCTGGAATGCTCTTTCCCAGAACTTGGCATGGTGGGCCCCTTTGTGTTATTCAGTTTTCGGATTTCACCTCCTCCAGAGGTCCTCTTTGATCTTCCAGTGTAAAGTAGCTCTTGCTTCAGTGCAGCACCCTGTTTTATTTTCCTCATAGCATTTAGCAATCCTAAACCATCTTTATGTGTTTGTCTCTTGTTTATCGTTTTCTTCTTCCCTCACTAGAATTTAAGTACCATGAGACGGTAGATCTTCTCTGTCTCGTCAGTCCTATAATCCTAACACCTAGAGCAATGCTTGATAAATCTTATCTAAATGAAAAAAATCAGTGAATGAAACACAGAGATAGAGAAATATTTTTTTTTTCATAAAACTATAATTTGTTAGTCAACACATAGGAATTGTACATATTTATGGGGTATATAATGATGTTTTGTTACATATAGTGTATAGTAATAAGATCAGGGTAATTAGCATATCCTCATCTCAAACATTTATCATTTATTTGTGATGGAAACAGTCAATATCCTCCTTCTAGCTATTTGAAACTATTTATTATTGTTAACTCTAGTCATCTACAGTGGTATAGTACACCAGAATGTATTCCTCTTATCTTGCTATAATTTTGTATCCTTTAACAAATCTCTTCCTATCCCCCTTAGAAATGTACCTTTTAATACACTGAGGTTGCTGGAACCAGCTGTTGATGTAGTAAGGGAGGAAGGTGACATGGCAGGGCACAAAAACACTTAACCAGTTCTGGTTAAAGTATATAATAAAAAGTGTGGCCCAATAATGAGTGTAACCATTCGGGAAAAAAACAATTTGTCATTGAAGAAGGAGTGAGTTATTCAAACAAACTGGAATCAGGTTAATCCTGACGATTTCCTGTACTTCGAATAACTTCAGTCTTTAAGCTGCATAGTTAGATAATTTGATCCCCAAGCCCCAAAAAGATCCTTGATTGTGAATGGTGTTTTTCATAAATTTAAAGCATTGCAGTTGAATGCAATAGAAAAGGAAAAATCTTAGTGTTGGTTATAGGGCTCATAACAGCATGCTCATAATGACATGATGCTCATTACCGTCATTAGATTGTACTTCATAATGCTAGAATTTATGTGTTTTCTGTAGTCTTTTAAAATAACTACTGTGTTGTGGGGTAGAAAAGATTACACTAAAAGGGAAATATGATGCCTCTAAAATGTACTCTGAGAAATTTTTTTTATATTGAAAGGAAAATGAGAAAGTATTCTTAAAACCTGTGAAATATAAAAATTTGTTACCATTCAATTACTGGTGCAACTTAGTTGTTTAGTTTATAAACTGGTATTTTTATTGACCCCTGAAGATAATGAGGAATAATCAACTTAGTGATTTATGTTAAACATACCCTTGTTAAAGTTTCTGTTTTTTTTTTTTTTTTCTTTTTTGATACAGAGTCTCACTCTGTCACCCAGGCTGGAGCAAAGTGGTGCAGTCTTGGCTCACTGCAGCCTCCACCTCCCAGGTTCAAACGATTCTCCTGCCTCAGCCTTCTGAGTAGCTGGGATTACAGGTGCCTGCCACCATGCCTGGTTATTTTTTTATTTTTTATTTTTTGAGATGGAGTCTTGCTCTGTGCCCAGGCTGGAGTGCAGTGGCAGGATCTCGGCTCACTGCAACCTCCGCCTCCCGTGTTCAAGCAATTCGCCTGAGTTAGCCTCCCAAGTGAGTAGCTGAGACTACAGGTGCGTGCCACCATGCCCAGCTAATTTTTGTATTTTTAGTGGAGACAGGGTTTCACCATGTTGGCCAGGATGGTCTCCATCTCGTGACCTCGTGATCCGCCTGCCTCAGCCTCCCAAAGGGCTGGGATTACAGATGTGAGCCACCGCGCCTGGCCTAATTTTTGAATTTTTAGTAAAGATGGGGTTTCACCATGTTGGCCAGGCTGGTCTTGAACTCCTGACCTCCAGTGATTTGCCTGCCTTGGCCTCCCAAAGTGCTGGGATTATAGGTGTGAGCCACTGCGCCTGGCCACTGTCTGGTTCTTTTTCACATTCAAATCGTTTTGGGGAAAAGTAATAGTAAATCTTTAACGTGGGGTCTGAGTTACTTAAAGCCAAAATTTTTTGAATTTATTTTTAAATGACTCTTGCCCTTCCAAGTTGCCATGTAGGGAAGTTGTACATTTATTTCAACTATGCATCCATCCGTTAAATTACTTTTATAGGTTCTTTTTTAGAATTGCTTCACAGCCAGTTTTGGAATTATGAAAGAAAATTAGCCTCCTTGCTTTCGTTTGTAAATTAAAACTCTCATCTTTTTAAAACAAAATGAAGACATATTACTTTCTCAATTGACTTCATATTAATATTTTATTAACTTATGAAGCCCATGCAGCTGTTATGCAGTTGAACTTATGACTTCTAAGATAAAAATTATCTTGTACAGCAGATCTGTGAAGAGCAAGAAACATTGTATAACTTTGTGAAATAATAGATTAAAAAAAAAAAAACCAGGCCAGGTGCAGTGGCTCATGCCTGTGATCCTGACACTTTGGGAGGCTAGGTGGGAGGAGGATCACTTGAGCCCAGGAGTTCGAGACCACCCTGGGTAACATAGTGAGACCTCCTCTCTTAAAAAAAAAAAAAAAAAAAAGCCAGGTGTGGTGGTGTGCACCTGTGGTCCCAGCTGCTTGGGAAGCTGAAGTGGGAGGAGCTTGAGCCTGAGAGATTGAGGCTGCAGTGAGCAGAGATTGCACCAATGCACTCCAGCCTGGGCTACAGAGTGAGACCTTGTCTTGAAAAACAAAACAAAAAGAAAATACCAAACTGTTGAGACCTGGATAACTACCCCCCACCTTTTAAATTTGCATTTTACTTGAAATTGAGTATGCATTGTGCTTTCCTGCAGATGAAAGTTATGGTGTGCCAAATCTAAAGGAAGCACTGAACCTTTGTGGAAGGAAAGAAAACCATCTGGTACCAGAAAAAGGCTAAAAGTGGGCTCTTTTTTGTACTAACAGAATGAAAGCTAAGAGTCCATATTTAAAATATGATCATAAAACTATTCTTATTTTACAGTTCTTGGCATAAGAATAGACATGTGTTTTGGATAATATACCTAATTTTAAAAGTCGAGATATGCCTCTTTGAGAAAAGTAGTTGAAGCACACTGTTGATGTTTGTCGTTAGAACACATGTAAGTTTTATTGTGAAATAAATGAATTATTTGTTTTAGGACGAGTCTTCATGTCTTGGCTTCCATGACTATTAAAGGCTTTTATTTTGTTCTGTAAGCCAGTGTTTTAATCTGTTTTGTATAAAGATCCTGTTTTGTTTAGTATCATAAACATGTGGGTTTTTAAAGTTTGTTTTTAAAAAATCTTTTCTTTCTTCTGTTTCTGCATTTTTTAAAGCTGCACATCATTGACTCCTGGGCCCAACTGTGACCGATTTAAACTGCACATACCATATGCTGGAGAGACATTAAAGTGTAAGTAAATGATGACTATTTTACTCAAAATGTAGGTTACAGTGTCAGCTATTGGACTTTGTGCTTTAGTTTTCATTTCCGGCTGTTAGTTGTTATCTCCTAAGATATTGTTCACTAGCATTTACCACTTTTCTTATCTGCCATTCAATTCTAGTTTGATTAAAAGTAAGGCAGTTGGCAGGGAATACGTTGTGGTTAAATAGGCATGCACAGAAATTCCTAATATTTAGGCATGCCCGGTAATTTTTATGTGTTTTTTTCTCTATAGGCGGCTTTTACGTAATACTCAATAAAGAGTCCACTGCTTTAGAATACCTGGCCATTTCGAAACAGTTTTTAGGTAGGAGTGGCTGCTGTCCATCACTGCTGCTAACCCCCCTGTGGAACCGCTGCGCCACGACTTGTCACTGATTTATCTCCTGTTGTTACCGAAGTGTAAGAGTCCTACCTCAAAAACTCTTGGCATGGCTTAGGCATATCAACATGTTATCTCCTTTATAGCAAGGATCAGAGATACAAACGGTCTACAAGGGCTAGATTGGTAATATAGTGAGGGAAACAGGCTAGGTGTGGCAAACTGGGACGCCCTGTCACTTAAGGGGAGTTACCTTTACTGATTTATTGAGAGAAGGTGGACGTCTGAAGTTTTACCTGAATTCTGTCAGTTTTAGATGTTGCTACTTTTTCAAAATTAAAAACATGGAGTTGGCCAATATTATGCAGGCTAAACTGAATGTGTCTGTGGGCTGGCTTGAGTTCCTGGACCATAAGTTATTGATCTTGGATGGATAGTATGGAAGATCTGTCATTGGACTTAGCCCATCAGCTACAGCAGCCCTCTAGACTGTATCAGCTTTTCTCTGTCACTATTACCAATACTGAACCTCTAGCCTAGTGTGGAAATCACAGTGGCTTTGGTTGGTTAGTGTTGGTAATCTCACCAGGAATTTTCTCTCTTGAACCTATTCTTGTGGTGAACAGCCTATTAAGGTTTTTCCTATTCCTAAAAAGAAAAATAAAGTACATGGATATTAAACATGGAACAGATGGGTAAACCGCTTTTTGACCATTGGACCAGTGTGTTTTACCATTACATGCCAGGAGGGGCCATGTCTCTGTATAGTATTTTGTATTCTTAGTACTATATTCTGTAGAATCACTTGATACTAATTTATCAAATGCAAGATTAAATGAGAAATGTTGGACATGCTGACTTGTCAGCCTTGCATTATTAGACCATTTTCTGGAAACCATTAAAATATAAAATAATTTTACCTGTCTGAAGTAGTAGGACAGATTCGACTACTTTTTTTTTGAAAAAATTATTAACTAAATTTAAAAGAAATGATCAAAGTAAATAATTCATGTGGTTAAAAACGTAAAAGTACTGGAATTTTTTGATACATGAAACCAGTAGTCTTCTCTCCCAGTCCAGTTTCCTGAGAGAATCACTTGCAGATTCTAAAAATTTTCAGTTTAGCTCTCTGGGGATGATCTCCATATCTTTAAATAATATACTTTTGCCTCCGTTTCTTGCCTTATCAGTTTTAGACATTGTTATCTTTTGACTTCCTGCGCTGATACATGAAGCATCAGCCTGTTTTCCCTATGCCCCTTAACTCTGTTTTCTTTTCCTTCTTAATGTAGTTATATCACCATTATTGGTTCCTGTGTTGGTTACCCTGTAGCTTAAAAATTTTTACTTACTTTTTTTAATGGATCACTTTAGACATTGTATTACACAGTTAATGAATAACCCCTAAGAATTCTTAGTAAGTACCTGGTACCTGGTACACAGTTAGCTTCGTTATTACTTAAGGACAATCTCTAAGCAAGAATGGTGAATACTTAGGGTAGTATATTCTTTAGTTTTACATTAACCATAGATACTGTGTCTTTTGCCTCTGCATTTTATGAGATGAATATATTAGCCCCTGCCCTTCCTTCAATTCCTCTTCCTTCACCTCCCAGCTTTTGTCTTTGGTTATTTTCCTTTTGCATTTTCAAGATTGTTAACTTACTGTCCGTTCTAAATCTGTAGTTGTCTTCTGTGCCTTGCCTATAAATTGCTTGAACGATTGCTCTGGAGGCCTGTTCCTGCATAATTATCACTGTGAGATTTGCCTTTATTACTTTTTTGAATTTGACCTTGTTTTGTAGAATCTATGTATCGTAGATTCTATGTTTTGTAGAATGATTTCTTGATAAACAGGTTACCTACTTATCTTGCTGGCACCCATTCTCAAATAACTTGCTCAGATTCTATTCCTCTTTCTACCCTTCTGTTTTCCTTTAGCCCATCCGATAATTTTTTATTACTACAGTCACAATTAGGTATCTTAATTTCTAGGAACTCTTTCTTGCACTGTTTCTCATTCTCAGCATCTTGTTCTTATTTTATGAATATAGGTCCTTTAAATTCCTTCAAAGAATAAAATTTAGAGATTCAAAAAAAATGTTTTCTTCTGTTATCTGAATTATTTTAATTTTCCCTAGGGATTATATTTTTGTTTATCATATTTTTTCCCTCTTTTATGCTATAGTTTTTCTTCAAATAAAAGGTATTCATTTCTGTTTAAGATAGACAATAAAATAGTGATTGGGACTTCTGAGTAGGTGAGCAAGGCTTATGGAATGTGTGGATGAATGATGGGCCAGATGTGAGTCAACTGCTCTAGCTCTCCTCAAATAGTTTGTTCTATTTCTTCATTGAATACCTGGGCATACATACCTGATCACCCTGTCATTTTCAGGGGGTACGTATATAGACTATTCCGTGAGGAGCTTTTGCTTACTCTTCCTGTTCTTAGCCCTGTGTCTCATTCTTGCCTCCCCTTACACTGGATAACTAGAAACTTTTATGGGTTTACTAGGACAGATGGCTTCCTCCTCATCAGTAGCCTCTTCCTCACATTATTACAGGTCAAAGCTTTCCTCTGCCCTATCTTGTCAAGTACTACACTTCCATCTGCATTCTGTCTCTAGCAATTTGCTAAACTTTCTCATCTACTGATTAACTACTCTCCTCCCTTCCTCTTCATCTTCCTGTTGTTTGGGATTTTATCTTTCTGTATTCACTATCATTTAACGGGATTGGAGGGGGTCTTAGAGAAGAAATGAGTGTGTGTGGTCAGTCCACAGTCTTGAGACAAAAATAATGTGACTTCACAGGCATCTTTCTAGTAGCATGGGTTTATGTTAGGAAGCATTTGCTGTTACCCTATATCCTCTCATTACTATAAGCTCTTCATGGGAAACCTTTAATAACATTTGTGATTAGTGTATTAGGACTGTCACTCATCATATAACATAATTATATTCTAGCAAATTATTGTTGGATATCGTCATTATACATTGGGGACTTAATTTAGCCCACAGTATGCTCTATAATAAATAAATAATAAGTGAACATTGTATAATGGCAATTCTTATGCTAAAATGAGTCAAGATTCTAGTGTTAAGCAGCTCACAGCCAAATAAAAGGAAAAGGTAATTGATCATGGAAACTATATTTATAAAAGTTCATAGAATTAGAAAGATGAGTTTTTTTTTTAAAAAACACATATATATGTATGTATATATGTATATATATAACATACACATATATATACACACACATATGTGATCTTGGCTCACTGCAACCTCCACCTCCCGGGTTCAAGCAATTCTCCTGCCTCAGCCTCCGGAGTAGTTGGAACTACAGGTGCCCACCACCACGCCCGGATAATTTTTGTATTTTAGAGACAGGGTTTCACCATGTTGGCCAGGATGGTCTCGATCTCTTGACCTCATCATCTGCCTGCTTCAGCCTCCCAAAATGCTGGGATTACAGGCGTGAGCCACTATGCCTGGCTTGTTTTTTTTTTTTTTTTTTTTTTTGAGACAGTCTTGCTATGTTGCCCAGGCTGGACTTGAACTCCTGGGCTCAAGTGTTCTTCCTGCGTCAGCCTAAGTAGCTGAGACTACAGGCACACACCACCATGCCCAGATCTTTTGTCCTTTTAATAATACAGTTATCCCTCAATATCCATGGGGGATTGGTTCCAAGATGTCCTGTGCAAGTCCCTGATATAAAAGGGCATAGTATTCACATATAACCTATGCCCATCTTCCTGTGTACAGGCAAACCTCATTTTATTGTGCTTCAACAAGGATTTTTTTTTTTCTTTGAAATTGATTGATGGTTTGTGGCAATCCTGTGTTGAGCAAGTTTATCAGGGCCATTTCCCCAAAGCGTGTGCTTATTTCATGCCTTTGTGTCACATTTTGGTAATTTTTGTACCATTTCAAACTTTTTAATTATTATTTTTTTAAACTTAAAAATTTTTGCTTTCTAAATCATGAAGCGTTTCCACATACTTTTTCATTATTATTCTGTTATGGTGATCTGTGATTGTTGACTCTTGAATGTTACTATTGTCATTGTGTTGAGATGCCATAACATACATACCCATATAAGATAGTGAATTTAATCAATAAATGTGTATGTTCTGATTGCTGTACTGATCGTCCTTTTTCCTTTCTCCCTCTTCTTGGGCCTCCTTATTCCCTGAGACACAGCAGTATTGAAATTAGGCCAGTTAGTAACCTTGCAGTGTCCTCTAAGTGTTCAAGTGAAGAGTCCCACACCTCTCACTTTAAATCAAAAGCTAGAAATGATGAAGTTTAGTGAGGAAGGCATGTTGAAAGCTGAGACAGGCTGAAAGCTAGGCCTCTTGGCCAAACAGTTAACCACGTTGTGAATGCAAAGAAAAATTTCTTGAAGGAAATTAGAAGTGCTACTCTAGTAAACACATGAATTATAAGACTGTGAAAAAATTATTGCTGATATGGAGAAGGTTTTGTTTGAATGAAAGATCAAACCAGCCACAAGATTCCCTTAAGCCAAAGCCTAATCAAGAACAAGTCCTAATTCTCTTCAATTCTAAGATTGAGAGAAGTGAAGAAGTTGCAGAAGAAAATTTGAAGCTAGCAGAAGTTGGTTCATGAGATTTAAGAAAAGAGGCCATTTCTATCACACAGAAGTGCAAGGTGAAGCAGCAAGTGCTCATACAGAAGATGCAGTAAGTAATTCAGATCTAGCTAAGATCATTGATGAAGTGCTACACTTAGCAACAGATTTTTAGTGTAGATGGAACAGGCTTATGTTGGAAGAAGATGCCGTCTAGGACTGTCATAGTTAAGAAGGCAATGCCTGGCCTCAAAGGATAGACTGACTTTCTGATTAGGGACAAAGGCAGCTAGTGACTAATTTGAAGCCAAGGATCATTTATCATTCTGAAAATCCTAAGGCCCATAAGAATTATGCTAAATCTAACTCCGCCTGTGTTCTACAGTAGAATAACAATCATCTGTTTACAGCACGGTTTACTGAAAGCCACTGTTGAGAACTACTGCTCAGAAAAAATGATTCCTTTCAAAATATTATTGCTCATTGACAGTGCACTTTGTCACTTGAGATGTGTTGGAAATAGCAAGAGAACTAGAATTAGAAGTGGATCCTGAGAATGTGACTGAATTGCTACAATGCCATGGTAAAACTTTTACTGATGAAGAAGGTTGCTTCTTGCAGATAAGCAAAGAAAGTAGTTTCTTGAGATCGAATCTACTTCTGGTTAAGATGCTATGAACATTGTTGAAATGACAACAAAGGCTTTAGAATATTTCATAAACTTAGTTGATAAAGCTTCGCCAGGGTTTGAGAGGATTGACTCCAGTTTTGAAAGAAGTTCTACTGTTGAGTACAATTCTATCGGACAGTATCTTGTGCTATAGAGAAATTTTTCCTGAAGGGAAAAGTCGATTAATGTGGCAGACTTCATTGTTGTCTTATTTTAAGAAATTGCCATAGCCATGCCGCCCTTCAGCAACTACCACTGTAATCAGTCAGGAGCCATCAGCATCAAGGCAGGACCCTGCAGTAGCAAAGAGATTGTGACTTGGTGGAGGCTGACATCATTGTTAGCATTTTTTAGCAATTCAGTATTTTATTCTTATTTGTATTTTTATTTTTTGGTATTTTTGTTTTGAGACAGGGTCTTGCTCTGTCTCCCAGGCTGAAGTGCAGTGGTGCGATCTTAGCTCACTACAACTTCTGTTTCCCAGGTTCAGGCGATTCTTCTGCCTCAGCCTCCTAAGTAGCTGGGATTACAGGTGCACACCACCATGACCCAGTTAATTTTTATATTTTTAGTAGAGACGGGGCTTCACCATATTAGCCAGGCTGGTCTTGAACTCCTGACCTCAGGTGATCCACCCACCTTCGCCTCCCAAAGTGCTGGGATTACAGGAGTGAGCCACCATGTCCGGCCGCAATACAGTATTTTAAAATCAGGTATTATCCCATCTCACACCAGTTAGAATGGCAATGATTAAAAAGTCAGGAAACAACAGGTGCTGGAGAGGATGTGGAGAAATAGGAACAGTTTTACACTGTTGGTGGGACTGTAAACTAGTTCAACCATTGTGGAAGACAGTGTGGCGATTCCCCAGGGATCTAGAACTAGAAATACCATTTGACCCAGCCATCCCATTACTGGATATATACCCAAAGGACTATAAATCATGCTGCTATAAAGACACATGCACACGTATGTTTATTGCGGCACTATTCACCATAGCAAAGACTTGGAACCAACCCAAATGTCCAACAATGATAGATTGGATTAAGAAAATGTGGCACATATACACCATGGAATACTATGCAGCCACAAGAAATGATGAGTTCATGTCCTTTGTAGGGACATGGATGAAACTGGAAATCATCATTCTCAGTAAACTATCGCAAGGACAAAAAGCCAAACACCGCATGTTCTCACTCATAGGTGGGAATTGAACAATGAGAACACATGGACACAGGAAGGGGAACATCACACTCTGGGGACTGTTGTGGGGTAGGGGCAGGGGGGAGGGATAGCATTAGGAGATATACGTAATGCTAAATGACGAGTTAATGGGTGCAGCACACCAGCATGGCACATGTATACATATGTAACTAACCTGCACATTGTGTACATGTACCCTGAAACTTAAAGTATAATAATAATAACAAATAAATTAAAAAAAATAAAATCAGGTATTATCATTTTATTTTAGACATAATGCTATTATACACTTAATAGACTATAGTATAGTAAATATAACTCTTATATGCACTGGGAAACCAAAAAGTTTATATGACTTTGCTTTATTGTGATACTCGCTTTATTGCATTGGTCTGGAACCAAACCCAGAATGTCTTTGCCTTATGTTTGTACTTTAAATCATCTTTAGATTCCTTATAATGCCTAATACAATGTAAATTCTACGTAGATAGCTGTGATATGGTATTGTTCAGGGAATAATGACAAAAGTCTGTAAATGTTCAGTTCAGATGCAGTTTGTTTTTTGAATTTTTGTTTTTAGAGACAGGATTTCACCATGTTGGCCAGGCTGGTCTCAAACTCCTGACCTCGAGATCTGCCTGCCTTGGCCTCCCAAAGTGCTGGGATTACAGGCATGAGCCACCGCACCCAGCCTGTTTTTTGAATATTTTTGATCAACTGGTTTGCTGAACGCATGGATGTGGAACCCACGGATAGAGAGCTGACTGTAGCCATTGTGTAACTGGAGTGAGATGATATCTCATTGTGGTTTTGATTTGCATTTCCTTGATAATTAGTGATGTTGAACATTTTTTCATATACTGGTTGACCATTTATATGTCTTTTGAAAAGTGTCTCTTTAGGTCTTTTACTCATTTTTAATTGGATTATTTTCTTCTATTTAGTGGCTTGAATTCTTTATATATTCCACATATTAACCTCTTGTTAGATGTATAATTTGCAAATATTTTCTCCCATTCTGTAGGTTGTCTCTGCAGTCTGTTGATTGTTTCCTTTGATGTGCAGAAGCTTCTTAGTTTGATGTAATCTATATATTTTTGCTTTTGCTTTCTGTATTTTTGAGAGCTTTTCCAAAAAATTCTTACTGAGACCAATTGTGACGAGGCATTTCTCCTATGTTTTCTTCTAGTAGTTTCATAGTTTCCGATCTTACGTTTAACTCTTTAATCCTTTTTGAGTTGATTTTTGTATATGATGAAAGGTAAGGGCTAGTGTTACTCCTCTTCATGTGGATATGCAGTTTTCCCAACACCATTTATTGAAGAGACTGTCCTTTCTCCAATGTGTGTTCTTGGCACCTTTGTCAAAAATCAGTTAGCTGTAGAAGCGTGGTTTTATTTCTGGGCTTTCCATTAATTTTAGCAACCTTAAATCTATTGTATACAAGATCAGTAAGGTCATAGTGTTTAATTACCACAATATTTGTGATAGAATTCAGCCTCCTACAATCAACATAATATTCGTCTTTAGATGAACAAACACTTCTCAGCAACACACATTTTAACAAATGTAGTATTCTAATACAAACACACTTAATTGAAAGGTTATATAGTTTTACAGACTCTTGGAAGATAACTATCACAGCAAACAGAAAAGGTCTTTGCCTTTTTTTTTTTTGAGACAGAATCTCGCTCTGTCCCCCAGGCTAGAATGCAGTGGCACGGTCTCGGCTCACTGCAACCTCCGCCTCCTGGGTTCAAGCGATTCTCCTGCCTCAGCCTCCTGAGTAGCTGGGACTACAGGCACGTGTCACAACACCCAGCTAATTTTTGTATTTTTAGTAGAGACAGGGTTTCACCATATTGGCCAGGCTGGTCTCGAACTCCTGACCTTGTGATCCGCCCGCCTCAGCCTCCCAAAGTGCTGAGATTACAGACGTGAGCCACTGTGCTCGGCCAGCTCTTTGCCTTTTTAAAGAAACAGACCTCTAAGGAAACCTAATTATACTGTAAGAGGAAAATGAGTAAGTATAGATTTAAATTATATTCTACGGTAAATAATAGATAAATATTCTCTAACCTTCTCCTTTTTGTTTCCAAGCAAAGGGTAATGGCTAACTCAGTGCTTTGCAGTCTTAACATTTTTATATAAACAATTTTTTAAATCTAAAGTTTCTCATTAAATCTCATTGAAAACTTGTGGTGTATGGTTTAAACTATAGTTATTTATTTATTTATTTGAGACCAAGTCTTGCTCTAGCACCAGGCTGGAGTGCAATGTAGCAATCTCGGCTCACTTCAACCTCCACCTCCTGGGTTCAAGTGTTTCTCCTGTCTCAGCCTCCTGAGTAGCTGGGACTACAGGCACTGGCCACCATGCCCAGCTAATTTTTGTATTTTTAGTAGAGACAGGGTTTCACCATGTTGGCTAGGATGGTCTCGATGTCTTGACCTAGTGATCCGCCCACCTCGGCCTCCCAAAGTGCTAGGATTACAGGCATGAGCCACCGCGCTTGGCCAGTTTAAACTATAGTTCTAACCAACGCTGAATCAAAGTATTCAGTAATTTACTAGAACTTACAGTAATTTTATTTCATAACTTAAGCTCAATAAAGTTAGAGATGGAGACTGTTGTGTTTATTAAATTAAATCTTTAGTCTCTAGCACAGTAAAGATATTCAATTAAATATTTGTTGAAGAAATAGAATGAATGCATGCATGCATAAATTAATGAATCTTTAGTGTTCAGATTTTCGTTGGTTGAAGTATGTGTTATAAAGAATGTGGCATTCTGTTGTATCAGCCTTTTGCCAACAGAAATTTGATCTTTAGAAGTTATTTATTATACAAGGAATTTGTAATTGGAACATTGCTCTTAACAATTCAGAAAACAGGAAGAATGTACAGTCATTTGCAGATTTGGAGTCTGAATCAATTTTATCTTTATATATTTTACTCTGCCCTCTGCAAGCAGATTAATGAAAATAGCATGTAACTAAACTTATTTTTCAAAATATTTTATGTATTGGAAAATAGTACTTCTGTAAATCTGTTTCATTGTAAGTAAAGGAAACTGCAGTTAATGAGAATGAGAATGAGAGATGAGAGAGGGCGTATTTCTACTCACTAATTGATTCTTACAGAATTATCCCCATTCAAAGTTAAATAATTGAAATAAAAAAGATCAGAAGATTATAGTACATTAGGAATGATATTATTGTTTCCTCAGGTCTTTTACTGTGAAGAGACAATTGTTGGCCAGTAAAAGAGTTGCCAATTTGTATAAGATTCTATTGAAAAATGTTAAAGGATATCCTAAGTAAAGAGAAGTCCTTGAATCTCACAATTGCAGAAGACACAACTCCTCCTGCAACATATTCTATTACTTAAATGATATTGGAAATGTGAATCTTCAGTGATCAAGATTGATTTAAATGAAATACACGTTAAGGTCTAGGATGGTGCAACTGAAGTGGCTGAAAATTTTCCAGCTATAGCAGCTATTCACATAAAAAGAGCCATGAGTGTCATATAAACACCTGTTTGTAAATATAGCCATCCTAGTCATACTCTGTAGCAATTAACTCTAGAAGAAATTATTCCATTTGTGTTTTTGTGTACTGTATTTAAATAGGGCAAAGAGTGAGCCTGTTTGCTCATACTTTATTCCCAATCTCTAGTTGAGTATCTGGCATTTAGAGAGGTTTAATAAATGTTTGTGGAAAGAATGAGCCGTGTTCATTCTTTGGATCTGACAACAATGAGGTTTGATAGGAAGTGACAGAACTTAATTCTGCCAGTTCTTTGAATAATGCTGTTTATGCAGCTTTGAAGAGAGATTATTGAAATATTGTAAGTTATATTGAGCAAGTCTGTGGCTAGTAAATCAAACAGTTTGCTAACATTGGTTTTACATTTGAAATTATCTGTGGTTTAAACAATTTATTTTAATCAGGGGCTGTTTTATTATAAGAAACCCACTGGAACTAACATAAATTGAAGAATTTATTTGTCTTTGTAAGGAATCAAGTAAAGCCTATGATGCCCAAGGGCAGAAAGGACAGCCAGGTTCTCAGGGACTAGAACCGGGAACTGGAAGGCTGGTAGACATAGTCGCCAGTCAGCATCTGTGTCCATGTTTGTGTCTTTCTCCTGCAACATATTCTATTGTCACTGTATTCTAACCGCCCCTCCACCCCAACCAACCCCCGACTTCTGTTTCTCCCCACATTGGGTAGAAATGACTTCCTGAGCCCCTACATGAGGACTCAATTCAAGGCCACCAGAGAGGTTGTCATTGAGTTTAAATTCCTGGGAGAGAGGATCTGATTGGCAGCTTGGGCCAAGTGACCACTTGTGATCAAGTTATATGGCCAGGATTTCTGGGTCATGTATTATCAACCTGATTAGTAGAGGTTAGTTTTAACACAAGATAAGATAAGCATAGCCTGGCAGATACCCAGAAAGGTATCTATTACCCTGTTTCAGGAATTCTTTCTAAAGAATTTCCAAATGAAAATGTAGACATTTTTTTGTCTTTAACAATAGAGCAGCCAGGCGCGGTGGCTCACGCCTGTAATCCCAGAACTTTGGGAGGTCGAGGCGGGCAGATCACAAGGTCAGGAGTTGCCTGGCCAACATAGTGAAACCCTGCCTCTACTAAAAATACAAAAGATTAGCTGGGTGTGGTGGCGGGTGCCTGTAATCCTAGCTTCTCAGGAGGCTCAGTCAGGAGAATCACTTGAACCTGGGAGGCGGAGGTTGCAGCTAGCCGAGATCGCGGCACTGCACACCAGCCTGGGTGACAGTGCAAGACTCCGTCTCAAAAAAAAAAAAAGAGCAATATAGTTGTTTATCATCTGAGAGGAATGATGGATATTTCAAAGCTGTTTGTGACAGAGTGAAGAAGTCATGTCAAGAAATACCCAAAGGTTTTGAAGTTGATACACTTTTCCTTTCAGAGGAAAAAGTCAGAAAAAAATCAATTGTGATACGAATAATATATTATCTTCTATGTCCTCAGAGAAGCAGTGTAAAATTACTGTTCATTTTTAAGGATTCCATACTATATCACTAAATTTAAATATATATTTTTTGAGAATGATTAAAACAAAATGAGAACAGTTTCAGAACTGTTACTTAAATGGAATGTACCATTTAATTAAATAGTGGCCAAACAGATGCATAGATTTTTACAGAAACATTGCACATAATGTTCTGGAGCTTCTACTTTAATGAATCTACCTGAAATTCAACTTCATTTTTGATCTATGTCTCCTTGAGTGCTTTGGCTGCTGCTTTTGTGTGTGTGTGTGCTTGTGTGTGTTTTAACACAGTGCTTCCCCATCTCCGATCTATTACATATTAATTTGTTCTAGCTAATCAGCTTAATAAACTGAGAATGCTGCTCATTACTTATGTAGCACAATGCAGAGACACTGTGGGGCTTGGCATGGATGACTGTCAAACAGAAACTGATAACCAAACTGATGGCGCCTGGAGGACCCAGTGGTGTTGCGAAGTTTGTTGTTGCATCAGCTGAAATAGATATTGAGACTTTATTGATTTATCTCATCTATAAGAATTTTGCACTTTCTTTGCTTTGTTATACCGTGCTATTATTTTATTTTATTTTATTTATTTTTTTGAGACAGGGTCTCGCCATGTCACCCAGCCTGGAGCACAGTGGCGCGATCACAACTCACAGCAACCTCTGCCTCCCTGGCTCAAGCAATCCCTCCACCTCAGCCTCCCAGATATCTGGTACTACAGGTGCACACCACCACACCCGCTAATTTTTGCATTTTTTTTTTTTTTTGTAGGGATGGGTTTATGCCACGTTACCCAGGCTGATCTGAACTCCTGGGCTCAAGCAGTCCATCTGCCTCAGCCTCCTGAAGTGCTGGGATTACAGGCATGAGCCATTGCACCCGGCCTTGGTTTCTTAATGTAATAGGCTGTTCTTTAATTGTTTCATAGCCTGCCTACCAACCCCATCTAAGTGAAATATTGTTGGCAGGGCACCTGATAATAACTGTTTTACTTATTCTTTCTTAAAAAATTTATTTATTTATTTATTTATTTATTTATTTATTTATTAAGACAGGGTCTTGCTTTGTGGCCCAGCCTGGAGTGCATTATAGCTCACTGCAGCTCTGACCTCACTGGCTCAAGTGATCCTCCACCCTCAGCCTCCCGAGTAGCTGGGACTATAGGTGTGCATCACCATTTTTTTGTAGAGACGGGGTTTTGGTTTCACTTCATTGCCCAGGTGATCTTGAACTTCTGGGCTCAAGCTATCCTTCCACTGTGGCCTCCCAAAGTGTTGGGATTGCAGGCGTGAGCCACTGCACCTTGCCCATACCATACATTTTGAACCTTGGCCGCTAGGTCCAAAAGCTGGCCGTTGTGACTATAGCTGTTGGCATTTTTGTTGGGATGACAATGTTATTTTATTTAAAATTTCTTGTACTATTTAAAATAATCTGTTTGGAAAATGTTAACCAAGTAATCTTTCTGCTTCCACTTCCCCTTCAGTATTTTAGTGGACTGAATCTCTCAGCCTGGCATTCAAGGCCAGTCACAGTGTGACATTCCAGCCTCCCAGTTAGAGCTCAGCTAACAACAAGCCAAGTCAGAAAGCTGCTCTGCAAGACTGATTTGCCCATTATACTTCCCAAATACCCTGCCTTCCTTTCCTGCTTCTGCTTTTGCCACACTGTTTTGGCTTTAGCAGGACAAACCAAGGAATAATAAAATAGCCTGTCTTGTGATGTATTTGGTTTTTCATTCGCGCTCACAAACCTGCCACTCTAATGGAAGTGCTCTCTATTTAGGAGGCTCCCTAGACCAGTTCTCTTCTAGTCTGCAAGAATGCTTGCAAGGAGAGTAGGAGTTAACCATTTTTACTATGACTTGCAACAGTTGAGCTAAGTAAAAAGTTGGATGCTGTCTAGGGACTTAGTATTTTGCATCATGCTGAGAGGCATAATTTTACTTTTATTTTTGTCTTTTAAAAAGATTCATTTACTTAAAGATTGTTATTATCTAGCATTTAAGGTATTTTTAGAGGCTAATTGTGGAGGCAGGTCACCTTTGATTTAGTGAATGTTCTACAAAATGCTCATTGAAAGGCAAGTAAAGAGTGCTAATTTTCTGGATTAGACATTCTCTCTCCTTAGATATTCAGGATTCCTTTGTCTTGGAGTTTTAGAATATTTTATTTTCTTGGAATTCATGGGTTAGAAGAAATATATTAGGAATAGCAACTAATATTATTAATTTAAATTTATAAAGTCAGTTTAATTATAGCTATGTATTATATATAATCTGTCTTTGGTACTGATTATAGTTTATTAAAAATGACTGATATGATTACTAAATTAACTTATTGGGCATTTTATGGTTAGGCTTATTTACATGCATTATTTTATTTTATCGACACAATAACTCTTAGGTCAGAATTTATATCCCACTCTTTAATATCAATTTTATTGAGGTAGTGTAATTTACATATAATAAAATGTACCCACTTTAAGTGTACAGTTCTGTGTGTTTTGGCAATTGTAAACACTTAAAACCACACCATAGTCAAGATAAAGAACATTTCCATTCCCTAAAGGTATAGAACATTTCCTTACCCACACAAATCGGTCCCCTCCACCACCTTCCTCTTAACCCTGAGCCTTTTCATTTCTCTAAAACTGAAACAGTTTTGCCTGTTTAGAATTTTATATAAATGGAATAATATATTATGTAGTTTTTGGTATATGGCCTCTTTCAGTCAGCATTATGTTTTTGAGATTCATCCATGTTACATCAGTACTTTGTTCCTTTTATTGCTGTATAGCACTACATTGTATGGCTGTACCACAGTTTTTTATTTATTCATCCATTGAAGGACATTCGGATTTTTTTTTCTATTTTTTGGCTATTATGAATAAACTTGCCATTACATTTTTGTACGTGTCTTTTTCTGGAGATGTGTTTTAATTTTTATTGGGTAAATACCTAGCAGTAGTATTACTGTGTTGTTAGCTGAGTGTATGCTTAACTTTTAAGGGCTAAACTGTTTTCCAAAGTAGTTGCACTATTTTACATTCCTGCTAACAATTTATGAGGTTCTAGTTCTTTTACAGTCTTGCCAACATTTGGTATTGTTGATCCATTAGTTTTTCTATATTCTTGCCAGTATTGGTATTGTTGATCCATTTTGAGCTACCTTTTTTTCTTGCCAACATTAGTATTGTTGATCCATTTTGAGCTACCTTTTTTTTTTTTAAAGACAGGGTCTCACTTTATTACCCAGTAATAAAAAGCCTGTGGTGTAGTGTAGT
Organism: Homo sapiens; assembly: GCF_000001405.40. Classification (NCBI taxonomy): domain Eukaryota; kingdom Metazoa; phylum Chordata; class Mammalia; order Primates; family Hominidae; genus Homo; species Homo sapiens. The sequence goes on from NC_000002.12 coordinate 27,945,068, forward strand.
GGCACAATCATAGCAATCATAGCTCACTGCAACCTTGACCTCCTGGGCTCAAGCAACCCCTCCTGCCTCAGCCTCCCAAATAGCTGGGACTACAGGCACATACTACCATACCTGGCTAATTTTTATTTTTTATTTTATTTTTGTAGAGACGGGGTTTCACTGTGTTGCCCAGGCTGGTCTCGAACTCCTGGCCTAAAGTGATCTTTCCACCTTGGCCTCCCAAGGTGCTGAGATTACAGGCATGAGCTACCATGCCTGGCCTTTGAGCTACTTTTGATCATATATTTGTTAATTAACAATTTAAGTGTGGGTCTATTTCTGGACTTTATGTTGTATTCCCTTAATATGTCTATCCTTAAGTGAATACAACACGATCCTGACTACTGTAGCTTTATAGGAAGTCTTTAAATAAGGTAGTATAAGTCCTGTAACTTCTTTTTCAAAGCTGTTTCGGATATTCTAAGTCCTTTGCATTTCCATAGAAGTTTTAGAATCAGCTTGTAATTGTTTACAGAAATCCTGCTGGGAATCTGTAGATCAGTTTGTAGAGAATTAACATCTTAACACTGAGTCTTCCAAGAGATAAAAATGCTAACATCTCCATTTATTTAGGTCACTTTTAATTGCTCTGAGCAGTATTTTATAGTTTTCAGTGAATATATCTTAATCCAATTTTGTTAAATTTACCTCTAAATATATCATACTTTCTGATGCCAATTTATAGTAGTGTGGTTTTTTTTTTTTTGAACTTTGTTTTCCTGAACTCATTGAAATGTAATTGATTTTGGTATATTTAACCTTGTATGCTGATGCTGCTATGTCCCTAAATTTACTTATTAATTCTAATAATTTTTTTGTAGATTCCTTAGGTATTTTCTTCAACACATTTGCTTGTGAAAAAGATAGTTTTGTATCTTCCTTTCCAATCTATATAATTTATATTTCTCATTCTTGTTTTATTGTACTATCTAGTGCAGTAGACAATACCTAATAGCCAGTGGCAGGTAGAAGTGGTGAAGTCAGACCTTCTTGCCTTATTCGCAGTCTTAAGAAGGTAGTTAGTCTTTCATCAGGTGTAATTGTCAGTTCTAGGTGCCTTTTTATCAATCTAAGGAAGTTCCCATCTATTTTAGTTTGCTGAGAGTTTTTATTATGAAAAGAATGTTAATATATGTTAATTTTTTTTCTCTGTCTACTTGGTTTATTTCTTTTATTCTGTTAATATGATAAATAAACTGATTTTCAAATGTTGAACCACTGTTGCATTCTGCAGATTAATTCCGCTTGATTATTATGTATGATCCTTCTGATGTATTACTGGAGTTGATTCACTCATGTCTTTTTAAAGAACTTTGCATTTCTGTATTTGATGCTGTATTTCTTTTCTTTACTTTTAGTTCTTTGCTTGGTTTTGGCACCAGAGTAATGCTGTGTTTATAAAATAAGTTGGGAAGTATTCAGTCCTCTGTTTTCTGAGTTTGTGAAAGATTGATTTTATTTCTTCCTGAAAGCTTAGAAGGTTAGAATTCACCAATGAAGCCATCTGGACCTGGAGCGAGATAGAGAGAGAGAGAAAGAGAGGCGAGAGAGAGAGGAGAGAGGAGAGAAGAGAGAGGAGAGGAGAGGAGAAGAGAGGAGAGAGAGAGAGAGCAAGAGAGAGAGTGAGCGAGAGGGAAGGTTTTTAACTATAAATGCAATTTCTTTAACAGATATAGGGCTAACAGGTTTTTAAATTATTCTTAAGCGAGTTTTTACAGCCTTGTCTTTTAAGGAATTTGTTCATTTCATCCAAGTTGTTGAAATTATTGGCATACCGTTATTCATCTATTTCCTCCTTATTCTTTTACTGCCTGTGTGACCTGTACTCATTTCCCCTTTCATTTCTGACATTGGTACATTGTGTCTTTTCTCTGCTTTCCTTGATGAATCTAGCTAGAAGATTAACAATTTTATTTTTTTTTAAATAACCAGCTTTTTATTTCATAGATTTTTCTTTATTATTCTCCTGTATATTTCATTGTTTTCTGCTCTTTGTTTATGCTTGAAAATGTCTACCTTTTAAATGGAGTGTTTAGGTAATTTAATCTTTAACCTGATTGCCACTATGGCTGGATCTTGCTGTTTATTTTCTAATTGTTATGTCATCTGTTTTTCATTTCTTTTACTGCCTTCTTTTGGATTAATTAATATTTTAGGATTTTATTTTGTCTCTACTGTTGGCTTCTGAGCTATATGTCATTGTTTGATTTTTTTCCCCCATGGCTGTTCTAGTGTTCAGAATACATATCTTTAACTTTTCACAGTCTACCATTAAAAATACTATAATACTTCATTTATCATGTAAGAACCTAACAATATTATATACTTCTTTTTCCCCTACTCAACTCCTCTGGCCATCCTTTTCTGCTATTATACATTTCATTTCTTTATATGTGATAAATTGTCTTTAGCAAAATGTTCAAACCTTTTGCCTTTTTAAAAAATGGATTCTTATCATTGAGTTTTGAGAATTCTTCATATATTTAGGTTACAAGTTTTTTATCAGATGTATGATTTGCAAATATTTTCTCCCTGACTGTGGCTTGTCTTTTTATTGTCTTAACGAAACTGCCTAATTCCATGCCACAAAGATTTTTGTACTATGTTTTCTTTTAAATGTTTTATAGCTTTAGGTTTTATGTTCAGGTTTGTGATCCATTTTGAGTTTATTTTTGTATACGATACAGGTTTTTAAAAAGTATGGACATCCACATATTCTAGTATCATCTGATGAAAAGAATGCTCTTTCTCTTTTAAATTGCCCTTGCACTTTTGTCAAAAATTAATTTCCCACATATGTGTGAGCATTTTTCTTAACTTTCTAGTCTGTCCTGTAGGTCTATATATCTAACTTTATATTGAAACCACAGTTTTGATTGCTGTAGTTTGATAGTAAGTTTGGAAATCAGGTGGTATATATCCTCCAATTTTTATTCCTTTTTTTTCCAAAATGGTTTGGAAATGTTAGATTTTTTTCATTTCTCTATAAAATTTGGAATCATCTTGTCAATTTTTTAGTTTTCTATGTTATTAGTATTCCATGTACAGGTTTTGCACTTCTTTTTGTTTATTAAATATTTAATATATTTTGATGCTGTTGAAAATTATATTTTTTAAATTCTAAATTTCTGATTGTTTATTGCTGATATATAGAGATACAGTTGATTTTTTTTTTTATCTATTGATGTTATATCCTTGGTAAACTCAGGTTTGAGTTACAGAAGTTTGTCTGTAGACTCCATAAGATTTCCTACATAGAAAATTATGCCATCTGTGAATGACAGTTTTAGTCCTTCCTGTCTAATCTGAATGCCTTTTCTTTCTTTCCTGCCTTAGTGCACTGACTAGAATCTCCAATATTTTGTTGGTAGAAAAGTGTTAAGGCTGGGTGTGGTGGCTCACGCCTGTAATCACAGTACTTTGGGAGGCCGAGGTGGGTGGATCACCTGAGGTCAGGAGTTAGAGACCAGCCTGGCCAACATGGCAAAACCCTGTCTCTACTAAAAATACAAAAATCACTTAGGCATGATGGCGCATGCCTGTAATCCCAGCTACTTGGGAGGCTGAGGCAGGAGAATTGCTTGAACCCGGGAGGTGGAGGTTGCAGTGAGCTGAAATCACGCCACTGCACTCCAGCCTGGATGACAGAGTGAGACTCCACCTCAAAAAATAAAAAAAAAAGTTTTAAGATTAGATATTCTTGCCTTGTTCCAGATTTTAGGGGAAAATAATTCTGTCTTTCACCATTAAGTATTAATATTATGTTGGCTATGTATTTTTCAGAGATGCCCTTTATCAGACTGATGAAGTCCCCTTTTATACCTAGTTAGTTGGGGATTTTTTGTTTTGTTTAGTTTTTTAAAATCAGGAATGGTCAGCCACAGTGTTGTCCTGTGGGGAAGGGAGACAGATTTGTAAAACCAAGAGCTAAGGTCTGCCTACCCCAGCCTGCTGCTGTGCGAAGACTCTCAGGGGAAGCCACTGTCACCATGTCTGACCAGCAGCCAAAACCTTCAACTTAGGACTTGGGGAATAAGAAGGAAGGCGAGTACATTGAACTCAAAGTCACTGGACAGGATAGCAGTGAGATTTACTTCAGTGAAAATGACAGCACATCTTAAGAGACTCAAAGAATCATATTGTTGGCTGGGAGCGGTGGCTTACGCCTGTAATCCCAGCACTTTGGGAGGCCGAGACAGGCGGATCACCTGAGGTCAGGAGTTTGAGACCAGGCTGGCCAACATGGTGAAATCCTGTCTCTACTAAAAATACAAAAAATTAGCCAGGCGTGGTGATGGGTGCCTGTGATCCCAGGTACTTGGGAGGCCGAGGCAGGAGAATCGCTTGAACCCGGGAGGCGGAGATTGCAGTGAGCCGAGATCGCACCACTGCGCTCCAACCTGGGCGACAGAGTGAGATTCCGTCTCAAAAAAAAAAAAAAAAGAATCATATTGTCGAAGACAGGGCATCCAGTGAATTCACTGAGGTTTCTCTTTGAAGGTCAGATAATTGCTGATAATCATACTCTAAAAGAACTGGGGATGGAAGAAGAAGATGTGATTTAAGTTTATCAGGAACAAACAGAAGGTCATTCAACTGTTTAGATATTCTTTTAATTTTTTTCTTTTCCCTCAACCCTTTTTTATTTTTAAAAATAGTTCTTTTGTAGTGTGGTGTTGAAAAGGGAATTGAAAACTGGCACCCATCTCTTTAAAACATCTGGTAATTTGAATTCTAGTGCTCATTATTCCGTATTGTTTGTTTTCATTGTGCTGTTTTTTGGTGATCAAGCCTCAGTCCCCTTCCTGTTGCCCTCTCCTTTTTAAAAATTATATGTGTGCACAGAGAGACCACCTTTTTCAGGACTGTACATTTTCTGGCTTGTGGAGATAAATAAGATTAACCAATGCAAGTGTTCGTAATGAATTTCCAGTTGGCCCTGAAGTTCTAGATTCACTCCTAGACTTCCAGCAGGAGACGGATGTTTTTCAGAGAAATCAACTGTGGAAAAATGACCTTTCCTTAACTTGAAGCTACTTTTAAAATTTGAGAGTTGAGAACAAAAAATATCAGGTTGAAGTCAAGATGACAGGTAACATGAAAGCAATAACTAACTCTAAAGATGGCTTCAGTGAAGAAAAGGCATTTTAAGATTTTAAAATATCTTGTCAGAAGAACCCATAACAGTTCTAATTTTCATTAGCAATTAATAAAGTTATTAATGTAGAAATGACTACCACAGAAAAAAATCAACAATGGATGTTAGATTTTGGCAGATACTTATCTTCATCTATTGAGATGATCATGTGGTTTTTCTCTTTTAATGTTATTAATATGGTGGTTTTCATTCATTGAATTTTGAATATTCAGTCTACCTTGCATTCCTGGGATGAACTGATTGTTTTGATGTAGTGTCCTTTCTCTATATTGTTGGATTTAATTTGCTAAAGTTTTTTTAGAGTTTTTCATTTATATTCATGAATGATATTGGTTTGTAGTTTTATTTGAATGCTTTTTCCTATTTTTTTCCTCATAGTAAAGCTGGCTTCAGAATAGAATGAGTTGCTAAGTGAACCCTTTTCTTCATTTTTTTCAAAGGTTTGTGAAGAATTCATATTATTTCTTCCTTAAATGTTTGGTAGAATTTGCCAGTGAAACCATCTGGGCCTGGAGTTTTCTTTGTGGGAAGGTTTTAAAGTACAAATTAAATTTGCTTAATAGATTTAGATCTATTCAGATTATCTACTTCATCTTGAATGAGTGTTGCTGATTTGTGTCTTTAAAGGAATTTGTCCATTTCATCTAAGTTGCTGAATTGATTGACATAAAGTTTTTCATAAATTTTTTTTATTCTTTTAAAAAAATGTGTAAAATTTGTAGTGATGTTACCTCTGTGTTTCCTGATCTTGGCCATTCCTTTCTCCCCCGCAACTGTTTTCTTTGCCAGTCTGGCTAGTGGTAAAGAAAAAAGTGGTAAACATTTACTCATGTTGTGGAAGAACCAGCTTTTGGTTTCATCCATCTTCTCTGTTGTATTTCTGTTTTCTGTTTTATTGATTTCCATTCAGATTTTAAATATTCTTTTACTTTCACTTGCTCTTCTTTTCGTAGTTTATTAACATGGTCATTGATTTGAGATCTTTCTTTTTTCCTAATATTGGTGTTTAATGCTATAAATTTCCAGCTAAGTGGTGTTTTAGATGTATCCTACAAATTTTGCTGTGTTGTGTTTTTATTTTCACTCATCACATGTTCTGAATTTCCCTTAGATTTTTTTTGACCTATGAGTTATTTAGAAATATGTTATTTGGTTTACAAAATTTTCTGGATCTTTTATTGAATTTGAATTTAAGTTTATTGTGGTCAGAGAACATACTTTGTATGACTTACATCCTTTTAAATGTATTGAGATTTGTTTTATGGCCCAGGATATAGATTATTTTAGTACATGTTCAATGTACACTGAAAAGAATGTGTTCTATTTTTCTTTGGTAGAGTGTTCCATAATAGCAATTAGGTCAAGTTGGTTAATAGAGTTGTTCAAATGTGATCTATTGTTACTAATTTTCTTTTTGTTATTTTAGTTTTCAATTTTTTCAATTTTTTATTTTTCCGTAGGTTATTGGGGAACAGGTGATGTTTGTTTACATGAGTAAGTTCTTTAGTGGTGATTTGTGAGATTTTGGTGCACCCATCACTGGAGCAGTATACGCTGCACCCTATTTGTAGTCTTTTATCCCTCGCCCTATTTTAGTTTTTTAAAGAGAGATACTGCAATCTCTGACTATAATTATGGGTTTATGTTTAAATGTGTACCATATCTTTATTGAGCTTCTGCATCATTCTTCTATCAATTATTGGAAGAAGGATATGGAAATCACAAACTATAATTGTGGATTTGTCTACTTCTTCTTGCTGTTCTGTCATTTTTTGCTTCATTTATTTTGAAGCTCTGTTATTAAATTTGTAAACATTTAAGAATGTTATGTCCTCTTGAATTGACACTCTTTGTCCTTGGAAATGTTGTTTGCCTTGAAATTAATTTTACACGGTACATCTTTTCCATTGTTTTATTTTTAACCTATTTGTGTCTTTAGATTTCTTTTGAGTAGCATATAATTGGATTTTACTTTTAAATCTGACAGTCTTTGCCTGTCAATTGGGATGTTTAGACCATTTACATTTAATGGGATTATTGTGTGCTGGATTGATGAGTCTACATAGTGTCAAGAAATGCTTACATTTCTATTAGTTATCTTTGTATTTCAGAGTGATTCCCTTTTTGCAAGTTTATGGCACTGGTAATGCTGTCTTCATATCAGAAAAGACAGGACACATACTTTTTCAGAGTTGGTAAAGCAGAGATTTAAAAATTCTGGCCTGGCCTCATAATGAAGGGTGTTTAGGAAACTAGGTGCTTAATGGAAGTATCCAGAGGGCACCAATGTATTTATGTTTGTTTTGAACTATTCTTTTTCTTTATTATTCTGGCTCTTAAGGGCATTGAACTGTTCTCATCTCTGGGATATTTGAGACAGAAGTTGGCATAAGACCTTTTGGGACATATTATGGGTGCTCCAAATGTTACAGGCACTCCAGACCAGTTTGGGATGCATAGCAGGCTTCATGTAGCATTATCCGACCACTGATCTCCGTTGATTTTCACTAGGTCTGCTTCAGGGGAAACAATTGTGTATTGAAATTAAAAAGCAAGACTTCTGTCTGATATAAACAGCCTAATTCTTCATAGAATAATTCTTTTAATACTGTTCCCAGGCTGCTGTCAAACCTCCAATTTATTGAAATCTTTCTTCACATTCCAGAGTTAGGCAAGATAATTAACTTTTGATTCTTTAGCCAGTTCTATATTGGCACGTGAAAAAGAAAACCAGTAGTGGCTCTACCCTTCACACTTCTCTCTCTCTCTTTTTTTGAAACAAGGTCCTGCTGTGTCGCTCAGGCTGGAGTGCAGTGGTATAATCTTGGCTCACTGCAGACTCGAACTCCTGAGTTTAGGTGATCCTCCTGAGTAGCTAGGACTACAGGTGTGTGCCACTATGTCTGGCTAATTTTTTATTTTTTAATTTTCTTTGAGACAGAGGCTTGCTCTGTCGCCCAGGCTGGAGTGCAGTGTTACAATCATGGCTTACTGCAGCCTTGAACTCCTGGGCTCAAGCAGATCCTCCTACCCCAGGCTCCCAAGTAGCTGGGGTGGGAGGAGCCTGAGCTCCTCGCCTGGCTAATTTTTTTACTTTGTATAGAGACAGGGTCTACCTGTGTTGCCCAGGATGGTCTTGAATTCTTGGGCTCAAGTGATCCTCCTGCCTTGGCCTACCACAGTGCTGGGATTACAGGCATGAACCACCGTAGTGACAGAGTCTCTATATGTTGCCCAGGCTGGTTTCGAATTCTTGGGCTCAAGTGATCCTCCCTCCTCGGCTTCCCAAAGTGCTGGGATTATAGGCATGAACCACCGCACTGGGCCCACACTTCTCTTTTGATACCATCTACATTAATATCATTACCAACGATCTCACCAAAAAAAAAAAAAATATTTCTTTTTTTCTGCCTTTGGCTACAGGGCTAGCTCGTAAAAGGAAGGGAACAAAATGTTTAAGTATGATCATGTTTTTAGTGATGGAAAATTAAAACCATTAAAAAATAAACAATGAAAAATATGGCAAAATAAGAAGGTGAATGCCAGAAGATTAAGGAAGTTCTAGAGAGTTTTGCAGATGTGGGATTTCAGATGAAGACCAGATACATCTAATTTGTGAGGGGAATAAAGAGACAGGTAAGAGAGATGGGTGGGAATAGAGCTAGCCTGAGGAGAAAGAGAAGGAGATTAAAAACAAAATTCGTATCCAGTCTGAATAAAATTTGTTTCATCCCTCCTTGGCCCTTAGAAATTAGAGTCTTTTCATATTATTGTCTTTCTATTTGGTAAGCTGTGTTTGATAGCGGTGCACAAACTTGGGCACAGAAGCCTGAGTTTGTGGGGTTGCATTCAGTGTATAGAAAAGTTACAACTCATTTCTAGTTAGTTCTTCCTTTGTACTTATGCCTAAACCTCTCCATCTGGAGAAATGCCAGCTTGCCACTAAATTTAAATAAATAAGAACATGTCTCATCAATAGGGGCGGCAAATTTAGCCCCTCTTTAGAGCACTGAGCAATTTATGACCATATGTTAAATACCATAAAACAGCTTTAAAGATTTGGTCGCTGGCCATTGCCAGATTGCACCGTAGGAGTGCAGCAGCACTGTGAGGGACTGGGAATGCTTCCTCCGGCCCTTGGAGGCCTCAGCAACTCACTGATGTCACAGCCAAAGAGGGCTGTTTTCAAACATTCCCTTTATAAAGGTGAAATACTAAAAGATTCCATTTTGGCATTTGGGAGCAAAGAAGGCAAGACTTCTTTTTGATTCTTAAGGGTCAAAATTAGTATGGAAAGTGTTGTGTGGGAGAATGAGTAACTTGGCAGCAGTGAGTACAGAAGGCAAGTCTAGAAATAGGTAATAGATATCCTACTCATCCTTTTTCTTGGAGCATGAACTGGACTTTTATGTGGCATAAGCCGACCAAATATCACGTTTCTCAATCAATTTCTTTTTGCCAACTTTCGTCGAATTAATATTAATGTTAAAAACAATTTTTAAAATTTCATGCCAAAGCATTGCCAATTGTAAGGCTTTCTTTTCTTCCAGAAATATGACTCACTATTTGGTGAACTCCAAATATTAGTTTTTCTTCTTACCACCATGACAGCCTGTGAATCATTTATGGCATTCAGTGGGCTCGTGGCTGAGAGAATGAAGGTGTGTGCCAGCAAACATGTGATTTTTGGTCAAGTAGTGCTCTGGGACCTTCGATGGGCTTTTAACACATGTGAGGAAACCAGTGGTTCAGGCAGGGGGCAGTATTATTAAATAGTAATAGACACCAAAAAGCTTTGTACAAGATTTTTCAGACTGCTCTCTCAGAAATGTAACTCTTCCTACAAAGGAAGATGATGAAATTTGGCTGTCAAAGGTCCAGGATTCCTAGCCTTCTTGAATCTGTAGTTGCCAGCCCAAGGGCTGATTTCCTGTCAGTTCCTGTGTGGTTTGCACTACATCCTCTTTGCAACAGATCAGTATTTTAGGTCATCCATCATAACTGCTCTCCTGTAAGTTCTTGGCAATTTGATCTCAGTTTGCAGAAGGCAGCTGGCATACTTTGCTAGGAAGTGCAGCTGGAGAGCTCCTGTCTCACTCTTCCTAAGGCCAGGAAGCACACTATTGTTACTCATTGCTGCTTTCTTCCTTTAAAGAACAAAAAACTTCAAACTTTGGCAAATTCTAAAGTTACTAGGTAGCAATTTGAAATTACTCTGATCGTTTTGTTGGTCTAGGGCAAAAACTTGAGTGATCTTTTATATCATTTGTAAATCTTGTCTGGTTTTTCCATAACACAGATATGTGCATTAGTGGAAGTTTCCTCCCCATTGCAAATGAAGTTATGCTTGTCTTCAGAGTCACACGGGAATTTTTAGTTTTATTTTGTTTTAGGCTTTGATTGTCAAGGACAGTAACATGGCCTAATTTCTTCTCTGTGTTTTATTCCCTTAACATTGAGATTTTTCTATTCCTAATATCAGCATTGGGTAAGACTATTTACCTTGGGTATGACTTGAATATTTGCACTGGATTTTCAAACTATACGAACAGAGATAGTTAAAGCACTTTTTTTGGACTATTTAATGTTAAAATAAAAGTATCGTTTTAGTGTTTCTGATTTCTCATTCCATAATGGGTGACCTATGTTGTGAGATTTAGAAAAATGAGCAATTTTCCTCCTTTCTTATGACTCACAGGTCACATTTTGGCAACATGTTTTTTTTTTCCTGTAGAATGGTGATTACCTTTACCCCAGTTCACCTAAGAGAGGAACCTGTTTATAAAGAGGATACAACCTCATGCATGAATTATTTTAAATGGTATTCTTAATAATCTATGATGGCACAGATCTTTTATACTTCTGAGTTGTCTTCTTTTCATCTTTACGAAAACCATATCTTCTGTAGAGTTAAACAAGATTATTAATGTAGCTCTTGGTTTCTTTTATGTTCTGGTTCCTAACATAAATGAAGGGAAAGGAAAGATAAGTTGTGCTGCTTTATAGAAAAATAGTAAACTTTTTGAAGGCCAAATTTATGTCAGATTTATGGGTATCAAGCAATAACATCATAGAAACACCCCAAATCCTGATAGTGCGCTAAGGATGGCATGAAGGAAGAAATTTTTGGATTTGAGATATGAAAGAATTTGATGTCCAGATTATTTCTATCAAACCAAATCTTTAGTCTCTAAAATAATATATTGTTAAATTCTAGGAGCAAGAATCCTCTGTGATTTCCAAGATCTGTTGCCGATGACCCACACAGTAGACAATCAGGAAATGTTTATTAAATGAGTGATACAAAGGCACTAAAAGATGATGTCTTATGTGGAAATTCTTAATTGGAAGGACACTAGGTAATTTTGGGAATCTTCCAGTGGGATAAGGAAGTATCTAAAGATTTGAAAAGCAGCAGCATAGTTTCTGCATTAAAGAAAGTAAAAGATAATTATGAAGGTTATATAGAGCAGGTTGACATACATATTTAGAAAGAACTCAGAAAAAGAATCACAAAAGTAGTTTGCCAACATTTGGACTAGTATAGGACTAACCAATTTTGCTTTGTAAAAAACAATTCTTAATAGATCAATTCTTATTACAGAATGATGAGTATAGTACATTGGAAGCAAAAGATAAATTTAATTTATCCCAATTTTAGCAGAGCTTTTGATTCTGTCCTTGGGATGAATCTGATAAGCAAATCATGAAATGATTATTTAGACACAAGATGTGTTGCTCGACAGTATGCCTAAAGTATATCATGACTAAGGAATGAATGCTACTTAATGTTGAAATCAGACGCTTTGGTCATCCCAGTGTAGAGCAAATTGCAAAACTGTTTCTTCTCTGGCTAAAAAAATGTTGGTTATTGTCTTCCTGTTTCTCCTTTTTCTGTTTTCTGCAACATTATCTCACTACACTTGGGTAAAACAAGTGCCAGGCAATTGCAGGGATGACAATCTCCTGTAGAAAGAAAAGGATCCACAATTTTCAAAGTACTTTAATTCATTCATCTATGCACCAGTTACTATTGAGGACCTACTCAGTCCAAATTTTGAAGTACAGTATTTGATGGCCTCCATTTTTTTTGGCACCATCATAATCTTTCCAGCATTCTCTTTACCCCATTTTCTACTAAACCAGATTGCCTTGATAGCCTGTCCTTAAGCTCACTTTTCAACACTATCTGCTATTCTTCAACATTCCTTGAGCACATAATTTGCTTTCTACCCTCTAAGTTTTGCTTCTTTTATCTCTGCCTAGAATTACCATCTCATTATTTCTTTATCTAAGCCTACTCTAGACAGCACTAAGAGTAGACATTTTAAAAAAGAATTCGGTAGAGCATGATTTTAGATGAAAAGGAAGTAGTAAGTTAAGTAAGAGACTGTAGCAGACTGTGTTTTCCAAAGATGGCCACAACAGCATTTCCCATTCCACATGCTCTTCTATACCATGACCTTACCACTCCTCCAGGTATAATTTTCCTCCTCTTGAATCTGGGTGGGCTTGTGATTATTTTGGCCAACAGAATATGATGCTTATTATGCCGTATGACTTTCAAGGCTGGGTCATAAAAGGCAATGAGGCTTTCATCTTACTCTAGCAGGAATACTTTTGCTTGGAGCCCTGCACCACTGCATAAGAAGTCTGTCTATATTGAGGTTGCCATGCTGTCAGGTAGCCAAACTACATGAAGAGGCCACATGTAGGTGCTGCAGTTGTCAGTTTTTATCTTGGAGGTTTCCCAGCCCAGGCATCAGAAATGTCAGTGAAATTGTGTTCGGCCTTTCAAACTGAGCACTACCAGCTGAACACCATTGAGTGATCTCAGTCAATGCTGTGAGGAGCAGAAGAATCACCCAACTACATTCTGCCTATATTTCTAACCCACAGAATCTATGAGCATAAGAAAATGGTTGTTTTAAGCACTGAGTTTGGGGTAGTTTTGTAGGTGGCAGTAGTAATTGGAATGTAGACCCTGAAGAATAGGAGTGGACAAGAGCCTGTAGGAGGGTGGAAGAGATGGGGAGAAGAGCAGAGATATAGAGGTTAAGTCTCCAGAGGGAGAAGGAAAAGACAAAAGGATTAGGAAAGAAATGGGTGAATATTGAGGAGAAAGGGTGAGGAATTCACAACTGATGACAGTAAACAGCATTTAGTTTTTTCAAGAATTCCACTGGCTGCTTTATATATTTTATATATATACATATAAATGTTTATAAATGTATATATATAACATATATACATATACATATATGCATAAACTTATATATGTTTATATATACACACACATATATATGTATATATGTATATTTAGTTTTTTTTTAATTTTTATTTTTTATGAAGTTGAAGTAGAGCTCACCTGCCAAGAGGTAGAAGGTCTACAAAGGCCTGGCTGCTTGGTGGAAAGTATTGAAGATGGTATAGATGACTGACCTTTAGCTTCTTGCCTAACAAATACTCTTGTGAGGAAAGACAGACAGAGGCTTGGCATTTTGTCATTAAGTGTGAGTGGTCTGCCTTCCTTGGGAGAATTTGCACACAGTATACACTATCAGTGTGAAGTACTTTGAGCCCTGCAGAAGAAGGAGAGATGGTTTTTTCCAGAGGAGTGCCTTGGGCTCAATGTGGCTCTGTGTTCGTGAGTTCTGAATCTCAAGATAACTTGAGGAATTTGAATAACCCAAAGCCACTTGTAGTTTTGTGAAATGGAAGGACACCACCTTTAGAGTGGGTACTTAGATTTTAAGTGCTTTCTTGAGAGAAGAAGGCAACAAATCTCCAGTTCTAACTATGAAGCTTTAGAGAGCTTTTGTCCAAATTGAGGACTCAGCATGAGTTGCTAATTGAGTGGCAGAGTTGCTTCTATAAAAGTAAGAATTGTTTTCTGTAGCATCCAGCAATCTGGTCACCAACCACATGCGAGTCAATGTATTGTTTCTGTGAAGGATTACATGCTCCTTGTTTAAATATGGTCCTAAGAGCCTAGGAATCCTGCAAGTTTTAGACAGACAGTTTTCCATTTAGTGACATAAGATACCTAATTAATTGTTGGAATCTTTTAATTAATGTTTCATGAAGAGAGATGCTGGAGAGCCTCATTAAAATACTATTACTGGATAAAAGAACAGTAGTTTCATGACAGGATAACTGTGATATATCCAATCTTTATGTAGTCTAGTCAGAAGATAGAATTTGCTCCTAGGTTATCAGGAGTCTAATATATTTCACTTTTAATCTCTGTCACATGCTTCTATTTCAATATTTCTTAATGTTCTGTTTTTTTTTTTCCTGCTGTGTTGGAGTGACCTTGGCACTTCTGAGATGTTGTGACTTGTGTTTGCTTCTTTCTCTACTTCTTCCCTGAAAACTGCAATACATGTAGATAACTCGCTGTCACAGACACTGCTTGATTTCCTTCTGTCTGACTTGCGTAATTTTCCTGGCAGAGGCACAACTGTCTTTGTCCTTTGTTATCATCAACTTACATTTAAACTATCAGAAAAAATTGCCATTTTGATGCTATTGCTTTTGAAAAACTGCTCATTTTCTTTTGCTTGATTTTTTTTTTTCGTACTTTCAGTGAATGTTGGCTAGAGCTTGTGTGTCTTTAACCGTTTTTACTCTGGTCATAGTTTTATTTTTATTTTTTAGTCTTTTCATTCATTGCTTCTGAAAAGCATTTTTTATGTCTACTTTTGAAGAATTCTGATTGCTTCATCCTAATTTTTCAGCATCTTAATTTTTCATTCATTTCAATAGATTTTTTTCCCCACTTCATCTTCTGTGGATTACTGGACTTGCTTTTGTTCATTGTTAGACTTATTGTTTAGATCTGTCGTGTGTGAACTCAAAGGATCCTTCATACCATTTTTTTTACATCTTTCTTATCCAGTTACTGGGCATTTCAGAGTTATTTGACAGTAGAAAGTATTCAGTTTTTTTCATGAATTCCACAGGCTAATAAACTTGATTTTCACAAAGTTTGTGAAGGCGGGTGGAGTTTTGCACAGACTTCCAAGCACTATTTTGTGGGAGCTAAAGTATAAGGCATAGTCCAAGATTGCCCTTTGTGTGCAAGTTTGATTCTGCTGCTAGTGCTCTGGTTTGTGCCTGTGTGTGCAGTCAGCAAAAGACTCATTGTTAAACAATGAACTCAGAATTCAAAGAAAGATTGGTGTGGTTTTTTTTTTCTCCCCAGCTAGCATTCTGTGGTTATTTCTACTGATTTTTTGGCAAGTGTTGCTTGTCTGTGTCGAGCTGTGCCACATCAGCCTTAAGTTTCTACTTTGCGTAGCTCAGCTAGGAATTAGAAAGAAATATTTACAGTCATATAACATTTCGTATTTTCCAAAGTAGTTTTACTTAAAATGATCTCATTTTAATCTTCCAACAACTTTCTGAGGGCTGGCTGTCTTGCTTTACATATAAGACAGGACCACAGAGCCTAAGTGACTAGCCTGAGGTCAAATAACTGGGAGATCAGGGACCTGGAACTCAAGTCCAGGACTTCTGAGTCCCAAGCCCAATGCTTTTTCCACTTCACATGTTAGGAAATAAATATCATCTTTATTATCATACAATAATAACCTGCTTCTCAGTATTAGTAGATAAGAGCAAATCAACTGCTTATGATGAGAAATAAGGATAAGCAATGGCTTTGCTGAATAGGAAGCAAACACACTATCAGATGCTAATGCCTTCTGCCATACATCAGCTGGGGAAGGTGGTGGTCAGTTGGCATTGGGAAGTAAACTGAAAAACTTCCATTATTGTGTGGCCATCTCTTAGACACTTTAGGAGTAACAACTTGTGGTTGGTTATTTTTTTTTTGTTTCTGAGGACAGAAATCACCTGCAGAAATTGGTGAAGACAGGGTGAGAAGTTAATCAGGCTTATGTGAGACAAAGGCTCAGTTTCAGCTTTGAGATGTAGAGAATAGTCCTAAGTGCTTTATTTTGCTATATGTGTTTTTAAGACAACAGACGGTCCGATCCTCAAACTTACAATGGTTCAACTTAGGATTTTTTCCCTTTGCGGTGGTGCGAAAGTGATACACATTCAGTAGAAACTATGCTTTGAGTACCCATGCAACCATTCTGCTTTTCACTTCCAGTATAGTAGTCAATCAATTACATGAGATAGTCAACACTTTATTATAAAATAGACTTTGTGTTAGATGATTTTGCCTACCTATAAGCTAATGTAAGTGTTCTGAGCACATTTAAGGTAGGCTAGGTTAAGCTATGATGTTCAGTAGGTTATTAAATGCATTTTTTACTTAACAATATTTTCAGCTTATGATGGGCTTACTGGGAGGTAACCCCATTGTAAGTTGAGGAGTATCTGTAGTTAGCATGTGATTGTATCTTCTATGCCTTGACCCAGTAATATGGATTTGTGATTCACTTCTATTACCTGGCCTAATACATCTCTAATTCCCTTAATTATCTTTTTTTTTTTTTTTTTTTTTGAGAGAGAGGGTCTCACTCTGTCACCCAGGCTGGAGTGCAGTGGTGCAATCATAGCTCACCGTAACCTTGACCTCCTAGGCTCAAGTGATCCTCCCATCTCAGCCTCCTGAGTAGCTGGGACTACAGGCATGCACCCCCGCATCTGGCTAATTTTTAAATTTTTTTTGTAGAGATGGGGTCTCACTATGTTGTCCAGGCTGATCGCAAACTCCTGGGCTCAAATGATTATCCTGCCTCAGCCTCCCAAAATAGTGAGATTACAGGCGTGTGCTACCATGCCTGGCCCCCCTTAATTATATCTTTTTGATTCATAAGTTAAACAACAGTTTTGAACTACTTTCTAAAATCATTTGGAAATTTTTGTTTGTTTCTTTTTTTTAAGAAATGAGATCTCACTCTGTGTCACCCAGGCTGGAATGTACTGAATCATAGCTTGCTGCAGCCTCAAACTCCTGGGTTAAAGCAATCCTCCGGCTTCAGCCTCTCAAGTTTCTGGGATTACTGGTGTAAGCCACTGCATCTGGCTAATGTTTTAATTTTTTATGGAGACAGGGCATTGCTTTATTGCCTAGGGTGGTCTCTAACTCCTAGCTTCAAGGGATCCTCCTGGCCTCCCAAAGTGGTGGGATTACAGGTGTGAGCCACTGTGCCTGGTGGTTTTTCTTTAATGTGGGAAATATGAGGGAAGGAAACTTAAAGGTCAAGATAATAAAGTGGACCAGATACGTATAGCTAAACTCTTTGAGCATTTGTGAGTGAAAAAATTGGGTTTTCATTTTCAAATGTACTTAAAATGTATTTAGAAATGAAGTTATCAAAAGATTTTAACTGTAGCTTTTGATTTAAATAAGTACCCAGTTTTATTTTATGAAACAGAAGGGATCAGAAAGAAATTTGATATGGTCAAAAGCAAATTTAATTAAAATAGAATATTAGCTCTTCAAGCTACTATTTTGCTATAGTACCTCTTAAGAAACATGGGTTTGTCAGAATTTATGTCATCTTAATAATTAACTGAACTGAAAGAACTGCATATGTTTTTAGAGCTAAAGACCATTTGATGTCATCTAATTTACTACCTATTGTAGCAATTGCTTTAGTAGTGTTCTTGGTAAATGCATATGTAGCTACTATCATTAAAAAGAATATTATCCACGAGACAACATTACAGTGCTCATTCAAAAAATATTTTTGTCGTAGGAACAAAACAACTTTATTTTCTTATTTGCATTGACAGTTTTATGGTACTGAAAGGAGCTCTCAGCAGAATTCTTATTTGAACTAATTAACCATACCAAAATTCCTTTTATAGTGTTGATCTTTTTGACAAGTGGAATTACTAGAATTACCACAGTAATCATCTGGTTGAAGAAATTGTGGATAATGGCAGCAGACTATAGATGAAGGAAATCGTTGTCCCAATATTTAAAGAAAAGAAGGAGAGGCCAGGCAAGGTGGCTCACGCCTGCAATCCCAGCACTTTGGGAGGCTGAAGCGGGTGGATCACCTGAAGTCAGGAGTTCGAGACCAGCCTGGCCAACATGGCAAAACCCCGTGTCTACTAAAAATACAGAAATTACCTGGGCTTGTTGGCGCATGCTTGTAATCCCAGCTACTCCAGAGGCTGAGGGAGGAGAATTGCTTGAACCTGGGAGGCAGAGGTTGCGGTGAGCTGAGATTGCACCACTGCATTCCAGCCTGGGTGACAGAGAAAGACTCTTTCTCAAAAAAAAAAAAAAAAAAAAAAAAGAAAAAGAAAAGAAGGAAGGATATATTCTTAAAGGATTCAGTAAATTGTCTGAGAGCATTTAAAACCTGTTATATCTTTAGTAGCCAACATGGATTTACATAGAAGCAAGTTATACCAAACTAGTCTTAACGGTTTTTTAATGGTAGATCAGCTGACATAGCAAATCATTTCAGCAGAAAATTTAACAATTTCCCTCTGATGTCTTTCTAGATGTTTCATATGTTATTATACCAAAATATAGTTAAGTAGATTTGCAGTAAATGGAACAATCATTGGAAAATCTCAGATGAAATACTCTAGGGTTGTATTTTTGACTCTGTTTTATTCAACATTTTTCTGAGTGATATAACATACTTGTTCAACTTGTGGAGGACTCAAGTTTAAAGAGACAGCTACTGTGACATATGACAAAATTTCATTCTATCCCAGTAGGTTAGTACGTTGGTTTGGAAGCAGCAGGATGTAATAAGAGTAAAGTCCATTGCTATGGTTTGAATATGGTTTGCCATATTGAGGCTTTGTCTTCAATGTAGTGCTGTTGAGAGGTGGTACCTTTAAGAGGTGATCAGATCATGAAGATGGATGGATTAGTGTATGTCTCTTGATACCAGATTAGTTCTCATGAGAATGGATTAGTTCCCAAGAGAGTGGGTTGTTATAAAATGAACCTCTCATGTGTTGCCCTTTTCCCTTCTCATGTACCTGCTTTCCCTTCCATTTCTCTGCCATGTTTCGATGCAGCATGAGGCCCTCACTAGAAGCTACCACACTTGACCGCTCAAACTTGAACTTCCCAGCCTGTGGAACTGTGCACTAAATAAACCTTTTTCTTTATATAAATTCCCCAGTCTCAGGTATTCTGTGATAGTAACACAAAACAGATGAAGACATCCATTATTTAGGTTTCCAAAATTAGTTGTATAAGTAGAGGAAAGCAGTTACATGAAAAAATTATCTGCGATGTATAGTATGAACCAATAATGTAGTGCAATTACTGCAAAAGCTAACCCAGTCTTGTGCTGGATTAGCAAAACTTTGGGTCTACAGTGTGGAATGAGGTTGTTGTGCTGTGCCTGTAATATGGTAGGCCATACATGAGTGTTGTATTGACTTTTGGGCAGCACAGTGTAGGAACAACATTAGGGTGTGTTCGACAGAAATCATGACACATTACACACTGCTTGAAGAAGCTAAGAGTGCTGGTTTTTAAAGATAGAAAGAGGTGGAAATGGAGGCTTAGATAGGTTTTAGGTTTTATAAATTGTCCAAGATGATTTTATTGGTTCTTAGCAGATCCAATTCTCTGTTCTCAGTTCTGGATTCTTTCTACTCATCACATTCTGTTCTTCTAGAAAATAAAACCAATGCTACCAAGTAGAAGTTATTAGGAAACAGATTTTCACTCTGCAGAGAGTTTTTAATAATTGATGTTGTCCTCTAATATAAGGAACTGCTTTGGGAAATAATGAGGTTTTTGTTACAGGAGAAATTGAAATAGACATAGTATAACTGCCTTATTGGAGATGGGGTATGTTTTAAGGGATAATTGTGAGTTCAACTATGTCAGAAACTGAGCTGAATAAGATATGGAGGGCAATTAACCATATCCCTCTCTATGTCTGTTGTCCTGGTTAATTATTAATAATGCCCTTTTTTCCCACTCTGGGTGTCCCATTTTTGGTGATAAAATTTCTGGCTGCCTTCATTATAAGGTTTTTTCCAACTCTGTAAGTATGCTGAATGAAAATTATTTCAACGTAAATTATATTGGTTTACCGTGTGAAATCAAATCTTGGTGGCAATATGTGGAGTCTTGGAGAAAATCACTTAAAAATATTTTTGAAATGGAAAATTTCAAACACTTAGAAATGTAAAGAGAATGGTATAATGAACTCTTATGTACCTATCACACAGTTTCACAGCTATCAACTCATGGTCAATTCTATTTCATATGTCCTCCATCAGCTTTTTCCCAAATAATTTTGAAGCAAATTCCGAGCGTCATATCGTGTCATCCATAAGTATTCAGTATGTGTCTTTATAAGCTATGGACTCTCTTTGTAAACAACTTTAATATCATTGACACACTTTAAAAAAAATCAATGCTAATCCTTAAATCTTTTATTACTAGTCATTATTCAATTTTTTTGGTTGCTATATATATACACACACGTATACATATGTACATACATATACAAACATACATATGTAAAATGTGTGTGTGCTTTACAGTTGTGTGGATACTGATTGTGTGCACATTGCAATAGGTTGATATGTCATTTAGCTCTCTTATTTGCAGTTATCTTGTTCCCTTATTCCTCCTTTTTTTCTTTGTCTTTTTCTCCTTTTCCTCCTCCTTGTTTTCTTCATATTCTTCTTCTCTTGGTTCTCATTTCTTTGCCTTCTCTTCATTATTTTTTTCTGTCTTCTTTTTCTTCTTTGTTTTATATTTATTTGTAAAGAAGCTGGGCCATTTGTTCTCTAGTTTTCCACAGTTTGATTTTGATGATTTCATTTCTGTGGTGTCATTTGATGTGGTAGTTTGATGTAGAGGCTTACTCAGGTTCAGGTTTTGTTTTGTTTTGGTTTTGGTTTCTGGCAAAGACTATCTCACAGGTAACATATTCTTTCATTAGAGGCATATAATATGGCAACCTTCAGTCGTCTTTGCTTAGATCCGTTAATTTGTTAAGTGTTGCAAAATGGTGATATTCTGTCATTTCTTCTTCATTTATTAGTTGGAATACTTGTGTAAAGAGTTTTTCCTGATCAACTATTTGGTAATCCTGAGTACAGGTTCCTTTAGGAAGGATAGGATAAATTCTTTCTTTTTCTTTATTTTCCAGTTTTCAAAATAATGTGTAGATCTTTCACATCTTCTGAAGACAACTTGATTTGTTAATATATCATTAACTCCTGGGTTTAAAATAATGTGGTGTGTTTTAATTCATTACAGTTATTGTTACTGATGCTTAAATTCATTCGTCTTTGACCAGGAGCCTCTGCATGATGGCTCTTCAGGTCTTGTTGATCTGACCCCCAAAGCCTTTGATAGTTTCTTGCTTTCTGGCATGACCAGATGTTTCAGGCTCATCTTGTACTTTTTAAACTCTGGGCCTCAGGCCAGTCTTTTCAGTCTTTGTCCCCTCACCCCTCATCAGCTGTAACTCTTGTGAGAAATTGCTGTACTCTGCGAAAATGTCTGGCTGGCCGTAGTGAGTTGCCAAACCAGACTCTCCCAGGGCTCAGGCTATGCTTTTTGTTTGATTAATTTGGTACATCAAGCAGCTTTAATAGCTTGAACCATTCTCCTCTATATTAAGTAGCTTTGTTTGTTTGTTTTGTTCCTTTATTTGCCTTTTGGGCACAGACCTGCTGCCTTCCTTTACTAGTTGTAGGATAGAAATAGAAATACCAAAGCCTTATCTTATGGCATTGATCTTTAGTGGCCCAGACTAAGTGCTCTCTTCTTGTGGGGTTGTCATTTAACAGGCAGAACTGTCAGAGATATGATTTTATAAAATCACATAGGGTCATGAATAGATATCAAAAATTTCATTTCTCCAGGAGAAACATATATTTCTTCATTGAACAGCCAAGCTTCCTGCCTTTGTTTGGTTCCTGAAACAGAAGACCCTGAGACAAAAATTTGAGTACATATACTTCACTGGAAGATGATACGGTTTGGCTGTGTCCCCACCCCAGATCTCATCTTGAATTCCCATGTGTTGTGGGAAGGACTTGTGGGAGGTAATTGAATCATGGGGGTATGTCTTTGCCATGCTGTTCTCGTGATGCTGAATAAGTCTCATGAGATCTGATGGTTCTATAAGGGGGAATTTCCCTGCACAAGCTCTCTCTTTTCCTGCTGCTATCCATTGTAAGATGTGACTTGCTCCGCCTTGCCTTCTGCCACGATTGTGTGAGGCTTCCCCAGCCACATGTCACTGTGAGTTCTCCTTCAAACCTCTTTCCTTTGTAAATTGCCTGGTCTCAGGTATGTCTTTATCAGCAGCCTGAAAATGGACTAATACAGTAAATTGGTACCAGTAGAGTGGGGTGCTGCTGAAAAGATACTTGAAAATGTGGAAGTGACTTTGGAACTGGGTAACAGGCAGAGATTGGAACAGTTTGGAGTGCTCAGAAGACAGGAAAATGTGGGACGCTTTGGAACTTCCTAGAGACTTGTTGAATGGCTTTGACCAAAATGCTCATAATGATATGGACAATAAAAGCCAAGCTGAGGTGGTTTCAGATGGAGATGAGGAACTCATTGGGAACTGGAGCAAAGGTGACTCTTGTTATGTTTTAGCAAAGAGATTGGCGGCATTTTGCCCCTGCCCTTGAGCTTAGTGGAAATTTGAACTTGAGAGAGATGATTTAGGTTTCCAGCGGAAGAAATTTCTAAGCAGCAAAGCATTCAAAAGGTGACTTGGGTGCTGTTGAAAGCATTCAGTTTTATAAGGGAAGCAGAGCATAAAAGTTTGGAAAATTTGCAGCCTGACAATGTGATAGAAAAAAATCCCATATTCTGAAGAGAAAATTCAAGCTGGCTGCAGAAATTTACATAAGTAATGAGGAGCCGAATGTTGATCCTCAAGACAGTAGGGAAAATGTCTCCAGGGCAGGTCAGAGGTCTTTACAGCAGCCCCTCCCATTACAGGCCCAGAGGCCTAGGGGTAAAATGTGGTCTCATGGGCTGGGCCCAGGGTCCCTGTGCTGTGTGCAGCCTAGGGACTTGGTGCCCTGCGCCCCAGTTGCTTCAGCTGTGGCTGAAAGGGAACAATGTAGAGCTTGGGCCATGGCTTCAGAGGGTGCAAGCCCCGAGCCTTGGCAGCTTCCATGTGGTGTTGAGCCTGCGAGTGCACAGAAGTCAAGAATTGGGGTTTGGGAACCTCTGTCTAGATTTCAGAAGTTGTATGGAAATGCCTGGATGCCCAGGCAGAAGTTTCCTGCAGGAGTGGGGCCCTCATGGAGAACCTCTGCTAGGGCAGTGCAGAAGGGAAATGTGGGGTTGGAGCCCCCACACAGAGTTCCTACTGGGGCACCGCCTAGTGGAGCTGTGAGAAGAGGGCTACCATCCTCCAGACCCCAGAATGGTAGATCCACTGACAGCTTGCACCATGTGCCTAGAAAAGCCACAGACATTCAACACCAGCCCGTGAAGGCAGCTGGGAGGACGGCTGTACCCTGCAAAGCCACAGGGGTGGAGCTGTCCAAGACCATGGGAATCCACCTCTTGCATCAGCATGACCTGGGTGTATTTACCCAATGCCTGTACCCTCATTTTATCTAGGAAGTAACTAACTTGCTTTTGATTTTATAGGCTCATAGGTAGAAGGGACTTGCCTTGTATCACATGAGACTTTGGATGCCAAAATGAGTTAAACCTTTGGGGAACTGTTGGGAAGGCATGACTGGTTTTGAAATGTGAGGACATGAGATTTGGGAGGGGTCAGGGGTGGAATGATATGGCTTGTCTGTGTTCCCACCCAAATCTCATCTTGAATTCCCACATGTTGTGGGAGGTACACAGTGGGAGGTAATTGAATTGTGGGGGTAGATCTTTCCCATGCTGTTCTCGTGATAGTGAGTAAGTCTCATGAGATCTGATGGTTCTATAAGGGGGAGTTTCCCTGCACAAGCTCTCTGTTTGCCTGCTGCCATCCATGTAAGATGTGACTTGCTTCTCCTTGCCTTCTGCCATGATTGTGAGGCTTCCCCAGCCACATGAAACTGTGAGTTCTCCATTAAACCTCTTTGCTTTGTATATTGCCCAATCTTGGGTATGTCTTTATCAGCAGCATGAAAACGGACTAATATAGGAGGTGATCTCTGGAAGCACAGTGAGGGGGTGGGGAAGAGAAAGAGAGGGAGAAAAGCCAAAATAGGGTGCATTGAAGAGTAGGTTATTGCTGTTGTTAAGTGGGGTTAAATTTCACTCACAACCCCCCAGCTATGTGAAAGTCACTTCAGTATTGTGCCAGGGAAGGGCAAGGAAGTTGTTTACACATCCACCCTCATCCTTCATTCTTAGTGTCATTCACTTCCAAGTAGTCCAGCCTTTTTATATACTGGCCAAGCTACCTTCT
The DNA here is from genome assembly GCF_000001405.40 of Homo sapiens. Lineage (NCBI taxonomy): Eukaryota > Metazoa > Chordata > Mammalia > Primates > Hominidae > Homo > Homo sapiens. The sequence continues at coordinate 27,969,587 of NC_000002.12, forward strand.
AGGCCAGGTAATGCCCTTATGCAGACAGATGCAGTTACTGGAGCTGGATGGCCACGATTTCTGGCAGTGGTTCTTTCTCAAACTGAGGTTGGGGCTCGGGACGGGGGAGGAGGTTATTTTGCTCTGCAAGGAGCATTTGGTAAATTCTGTGGACATTTTTGGTAGTGACAACTGGGGGAGGGAAAAAGTGCTACTGGCTGGCATCTAGTGGGTAGAGACCAGGGATGCTGCTTAATATACCGCAGTTGATATGGTTGCCCCCTACAGCAAAGAGTTATCCATCCCCAAATGTCAGTAGTCCCATGGCTTAGAAACTCTGTTTTACAGGAATTCAGAGCTGCAGGTGACCTCTGGGTGGGAGGACGAAGGGAGTATGGTGGGTCACCATGGCATCTGCTACACTTCTCAGGTACACCCTGAGTTTCTTGCTACTCTGCTTTTGCTCATGATGTTCCCTTTGTATCCTCATTTCCAAATCCTTTTTATTCTTTAATTTTTTTGGTATATAGTCTATATGCTATATTTTTTCACTTTTTATAAAGGAATATATTAATGTATTTTTAACTTTTTTAGAGTTTTATTGTCTAATTCCCAGTCCCAGTGCCACTTCTTCAATGAAGTCATCTGTTAGATCCTGACTAATTCCTGTATTTTCAGAATTTGCATGGTGTGTTATTTGTTCATTTCTTGTGATGCTAATACATTTTTACTTTGTGTTATATTTTTCTCTCAAATTGTTATTTTAAAGGATAACATCTGCCTTTTAAAAATTGGAACAAATTGTACTATGAGCATCTGTCAACCCTTTATTTAATCTATCAGTTGTTAACATTTTGCCATGTTTTAGAAGTCTCTCTCTACTCACATGTATATGTGTATGCTGATATAGATATATAGTTTACAGTATCTATCTCTAAATCTTTGAGTCATTTTAAAGTAAGTTGCAAATATTTTCATACTTCACCCCTAAGTACTTCACTACATATCTCCCAAGAAAAGAACATTTTTCTCCTATAGAATCTCAATGCCATGATCGTACTCAAGAAATGTAACATGGTTACAGTAGCATCTTATGTGTGGTCCATATTTATATATACCCAGTTGTCCATTAATATCCTTTTAGCTTTTTTTTCCCCAGATCTGTGATCCAGTGAAAGATCATTCATTATGTTTACTGGTCACACTTAAAAAATGTTTTAAATTTTTTTCTTTAATCTAGAACAATTCTCTTACCCTTTTCTTTTTGTTTTTGGTTATTCATGACATTAATGATTAATGATTTTGAAGAGTCTGGGGCTGTTGTTTTGTAACATATCCCACAGTTTGGTTTATCTGATTTTCTCTTCATGGCTGTATTCAGTTTAAACATATTTGTCAAGCTTTTAAAATAAGTGATGTTATATACTTCTCAGTGCAGTTACCACAAGGCCCATGATATGTTTCTTCCATTGTTGCTGCTGCTTGACCACTTGTTTAAATTAAGTTGGTGTCTACCAGTTTTTCTCATTATAAAGATACCTTTTCTCAATTATAATGAATTAGTGATCTGTGAAGTGACACTTTGGGACTGTATCCTGTTCTGAAAAACATTTTGCCCAGTGTTTTTAGTATCTTGAATCAATACTACAAGCTTTATTGGGGCAGAATCTCCTAACTCTTTTTCTGTCAGTGATAGTACTTAACATAATGTATATGTTTATTGAGGGATTGAATGAATTAATAAATGAAAATTTTATCTTTAGAGAATGAGAAAACATCTTGATTTATCCTGCCAGTTTAACCAAAATCTTTACAGTCACATGTTCTTTTTCTTAAGCTTGTTCAAGTATAGAATAATTCATTACTGTTTTTTTCCTATTGCTTCACATCTCAGGGTTTTTCATCGTTTCCTCCAAATGGCAATGTCTCTTTTTCTTATCAGTAAATACAAAGCTACTTATTCTGTATGTTTAAACCAACTTTACAACATCCATCTCACTACGATATTTCATTAAAAGAAAAATAAATGTAAATACATAGTGTTCTAGGAGCTACACCTAAATCAAGGGTGTGTGAATGTGTATATGGGTATGTAAAAATCAAGCTTACTTGCTAAATTTTCCCATGTGTTTTTTTTTTTCAATGTTTTACTATTTCATGACAAGGATCATTACTGATTTGTTTTAAAATTATATTTAATTCTGAACTACTTTTTAAAACTACAACAATCATAGAAAGGTTGAAAAAGCTTACTTTCTTTTTTATAGTGTCACTTGCATTGTAGTTATTAAAGAGTTGATAACAAATTGCAGTAATGAAACAGTTTGTGAATATGCATTAGAAGATCACTAAGACTAAAATTTTCTGCAGTAGAATATTTATTGCTCAATAAAGTAATGCTAATTTATAGCATTTGGCTTAAAATATTGTTGTTTTATGCACCGAAATAAGTATAACAAAAATACAAGGTTAAAAGTTCATTTAAAACATATTACATCTGAAGATGGACAATACCCCTTTCTGAATTAGTCTAATTTTCTAAGAATCAACAACATGTATATTATCTCTGATACACATAAGAATCACGTAGCTTAATTTCCTGAAAATTGTCTTATTATTAACCACTGAAAGAACTAGGCATATTTAACCTGGAGAAGAGAAGATTAAAAGAAGACCTGACAGTCATCTGCAGATGGTTTGGGGACTATCGTGTAGAATAATGCTTAGGGTAGAACTAGTGTTAGTGGGTAAAAGTGATTTGTAGCTATATTTTCTGTTTCAATATAAGAAAGAACTTTTTTCAACGGGTAATAACTGCCAAGGAACAGAGTGTGGTATCTAATGAGGCAGGGAGGACATTTTACATGGAGATAGTCATGGAAAATTAAGTGACCTTTCTTACCTTCCCTTCATTCCCTTTGTTTCCTTCTTTCCTAATCAGTGTTTCCTGTAGATCTGTGCTGTCCAATATAGTCGCTGCTAGCCACATGTGGTGATGGAGTCTTTGAAATGTGGCTAGTCTGAATTGAGATGTGCTGTTAAGTGTGAAATACACATCAGATGCTAAAGTTTATATTTAAAAATATAAAATATCTCACTGATAACTTTTATATTGATGACATGTTGAAATGGTGTTATTTTGTATATCTTGGCTAAATAAAATATAAAGGTTACATAACTTTAATTTATTATTATTTTAATTATTAGCTTTTTTTTTTTTTTGATGGAGTCTTGTGCTGTCGCCAGGCTGGAGTGCAGTGGCTCGATCTCGACTCACTGTAACCTCCACCTCCCAGGTTCAAGTGATTCTCCTGTCTCAGCCTTCCGAGTAGCTGGGACTACAGGCGCGCACCCCCACACCTGGATGATTTTTGTATTTTTTAGTAGAGATGGGATTTCATCATGTTGGCCAGGCTGGTTTTGAACTCCTGACCTCAGATGATCCGCCCGCCTCGGCCTCCCAAAGTGCTAGGATTACAGTCATGAGCCACCGTGCCTGGTCGTAATTATTAGCTTTAATTACCAGTTCTCGGTAAAAATGAGTAAACCCTGCACCCTATCTCTCTCATTGGTTATAATTTAAAACCATAGTACCTAAAGAATACATATAGGAACTGCTTGAGGACTCTGAAAAGTAATTATCAGACATACTAAGAAGAATTAAAAACTCAAAGATTAACCCATATGGAGGTCATTTTCTTGTGTTTTAAAAAATTTGTTTATCTTTTCTTTCCATATCTCCTGGTTTGGATCCTAGGACATCCTGGACCCTGGCACTATGCACTGGGCAAGGACAGAAAATTCTCCAATGAAAACCCTCTCCCAGGTCAAAGACATAGAAAGGGGGACTCTTCAGGATGTAATCTTTTTTTTTTTTTTCCCCACCAACTCTTCTGTCCCTAAGGCAGGCAAGCTCTAGTGATGAAACAGGACTCTTGCAGTAGCCTCTTAGACTCTTTTCTTTTGGGGTTTCTTCTCCAGATTGACACAGTAATGGAAAGTATATAAAAACATGGGGAGGGAAAAACTCCCAGTTTCAAGCCAGAGTACCAAGAAAAGGTGCCACTGGGAGGCAGAGTACGGGGGAAATCACAGAGAAGAGGGGCTGGAGAAAAGGATCCTTTAATCTGTGTGTGAAGTCTCAGGCTTATCCTTGAGCTTCACACATGGAACCGGACAGAATCAGTATAGCAAAGTCTTTGAGAACTGAGCTACAGCATAGAACAGTGCCCAGACTAGCCTCTGGGTGGTGCGTACTTTGGGAAAACCAGAGTAACATTTAAAGGCTTTGAAAACTATTCTGATGAATCAAGTCCACAGAAGATGGTTTAGTGCTTTCACTCTGAACCTAACTTTATGCCAATTCATTTGGCAATTAAGTGAAATGAACACATTCCTTGAAAGAGATAAACTATCAAGATTCACTCAGAAAGAAATAGATTATCTGATTAATCCTATATCTGTTAAATAAATTGAATTTATAGTTAAAAAAAAATCTTTCACAAATGAAATGCCAGACCCAGATTATCTTGGGTGAATTCTACCAAACATTTAAGACAAAAAGTCACCAATTTTATGCAGTATCATCCAGAAATTGAAAAGGATACAACAGTTTCTATCTTACTTTATGAGGCTGACATTTTTCTGATATCAAAATCAGTCAAAGAAAGTAGAAGAAAACAAACAAACAAACTATAGGCCAGTATCCCTCATTTGAACAAAGAAGTAAAACTTTCGAAAAAAATTAGCAAATTGAATTTAGCAACATATATAAAATACATACATATATATGTATACAACATACATTATCTATGTATGTATACAAGTAAAATAATATATCATAATCAAGCAGGTTTTATTCTGGGAATGAAAGCCAAGTTCAACATTTGAAAATCAGTCTATGCAAGTCTCCATATTAACAGACTAATACAAGATAAACTGTATGATCATATCAATGGATGCAGAAAAAACTAAAATTTAAAATCTGTTCATAATAAATACTCTTAGCTAAATAGGAATAAAAGGGAATTTCCTCAGCCTCAAACTTATAAAGGACATCTACCCAGAACCTACAGCTTAATATCATACATGGTGAAAGACTGAATGCTTTTCTTCTAAGACTGAGAATGAGGCAAAGATGTTCACTTTCCCAAATCCTATATAACATAGTACTGGAAGTTGCAGGAAGTCAAGAAAAAGAAATAAAAGGCATATGGATTGGAAAGGAAGAGATAAATCTACCTAATTTGCGTATAATGATTGTCTATGTAGAAAATCCCAACGCATATTCAAAAAATCCTAGAACTTACGAGTTTTTTAAGGTTACAGGATGTAAGATCAGCATAGGAAAATCAATCCTATTTCTTTATACTAGCAATGAACAATCAGAAACAGAAAGTTAAAAAATAGTACCAATTATAATACCTTCCTGCCAAAAAAATGCTTAGTTATAAATCTAATAAGGTATGTTCAGTATCTATATGTAGATAAAGGAATTGAAGAAGACCTCAATAAATACAGAGATATATAATATATTCAAGGATGGGAAGACTCAACATAGTTAAGATGTTTTCCCTAATTAGTTTTAATTAGTTTCCTAAGTCAATTTTCCCTAAATTAATGTACACTATTTAGTGTAATCCCCATCAAAATCCCAGCAGGATTGGGTAGATATTGACAAGATGATTTTAAAATTTACGTGGGAAGCAAAGAATTAAAATAGCCAAAACAATTTTGGAAAAGAACAATAAAAATGGAGGAGTCAGACTACTCAGTTTGAAGACTTATTATCAAGGCAGTGTGATATTGGCAAAAGAAGAGCCATAGATCAATAGAACAAAATAGTCCAATAATAGATCCATATAAATATGGTCAATGATTTTCCACAAAAACGCAAAGGCACTTCAATGGCAAAAGGAGTCTTCTCAGCAAGTAGACATCTACATGCAAAAAAAAGGACCTTGACTTATATTTCAAACCATGTTCAAAAATTGGTGAATCACATTCTTAAATGGAAAATTTCAAACCATAAAAATCCAAGAAGTAACCATAGAAGGAAGGCTTTGTGACTTGGGCTGGGCATTGAGTTAGATACAACAGTAGAAACATAATCCATAAAAGAAAAAAGTTGATAAATTGGATTTCACTGAAGCTTAAAACTTTTGCTCTGCTGAAGAGACTGTTAAGAGGAAGAGGAGGACAAGAAGCAGTAAGAGAAAATATTTGCAAATCATGTATCTAACAGAGAACAAATTTCAAGAATATGTAGCTTTCAAAAGTCAACATTAAGAAAACCAACAACAATAAAAAAAATGGGGAACAGATCTGAACAGATACTCCACCAAGGAATATATACAGGTAGCAAATAAACACATGAAAAGATGCTCAACTTTATTAGTCATTAGGAAAATGCAGATTAAAATCATTATGAGATGCCATGATGTACCTGTTAGAATGACTAAAATCAATGACAATAATAACAAAATTGACCATATTAAATGTTGGCACGAATGTGTAGAAACTGGAACTCTCATGCGTTGTTGGTTTGCTAAATGTAATAGTCACTCAGGAAAAAAGGTTGGCAGTTTGTTTTATGGTTAAAGATACACTTCATCATATGACCTAGCAATCCAGTCTTAAACATTTATCTAGAAATGATAAATGTACATTCACGCAAAACATGTACATATATGTTTGTAGCAGCATCATTCATAATCATCACAAACTGGAAATCACCTACATGTCTTTCATTGGGTAGATGGATATACAAACTATGGTACATCTGTACAATGGAATATACTAGTAGGCTATAAAAAAGGAGCAAGCTATTGATACATGCAGCAATTTGAGTCTCAAATGCCTTATGCTAAGTGAAAGAAGAAGCTGGTCTCAAAAGGTTACATACTGCATGATTCCATTTATATGGCATTCTGGAAAAATGCAAAACTGAAGGGGCCAAGAGCAGGTCAGAGGTTTCCAGGAATAAGGAATGGTCGGAATATTTAAATACACAGGGATAGCATGAAGACATATTGGAGAGTGATAGAATTGTTCTGTATCCTAATTTTGGTGATGTTTACACAAATCTCTGCATGTTATACAACTCTTATAGGTGTACAGAAAAAGATGAATTTTACTGTGTATAAAGTTAAAAAATAGTTTATAATTTTTATGTCACCTTTTTTCTTTTTACTGTTTGAATGTGGCTACTGGTAAGTTTAAAATTATGTATGTGGCTTGCATTATTATTTCTATTACATAGCACTGCTTCAGATATTAGAAGTGCAAAGAAGGATTAGGTGTGGTCCGAAGTCTAGGAGAGGGATATGGCAGAAGGAAGTCTTCTAAGAAGAGGAGGCAAATTTAAATGACCTAAGTTTAGCCTCTGCCCCCTACTTCCATCCTTTGTTCTACAGATTTTGTTTGAGAGCCTAATTCATGTAAATATGCCAACTCTCAGATGTAGTAATTCCTTAGAGTCTTTTTCCTTGATATTGGAAATTAAACTCTACCACTCAAGATGAAAAGAATGCTGTGCAATGGAATAATTAGTGGCATCCTTGCATTTGTAGGCACAACAGCCTACATTGCTGAGGCAGTTGACAAGTTCCTTGACAAACTTGTGATGAATGTTTAAGTTCATATTATTATTGGTTAGACATTATTGTTTAAATTATTGCACCCAAGATTGTTTATTGTTTATAAATTGTCATAAAGGGAGGTTTCCAGAAGGATGCCTAGCCAGTATGTTTATAATTTGAAGTTAGGAGTGCCAACCCAAAATTGGAGTAGAATCTAAGAATATCATGATGGACTTTAAATAGGTAAATCTAGCGATACTGAAATATAATACAGATAAATTTAAAATTTCAAAATGGATTCTAAAATTTAGTTGTCCCAGTTAAGAAGAGGGATATGTAGCTTAGCAGTGGTAAATACATAAAAATGTTAGGGCTTTTAGTTAATAAGAAGCATAATAGGAGTCACTACTGATGAGGCTGCCAAAAAAGCTATTTTAACTTACAATGCCATTTATCAATAGAAGTTTAATACATAAATTAAGGCATGGATTTTTGTATTTGTTTCTGTGCTCTTTAGAACACACCTAGAATCTTATCTTGAGATCTGGGTGTTATCCTCTAAGAGAGCTATAGACAAACTGGTACATATTCAGAGAGGAGAGAGCCAAATGATGAAGGAAATTGAAACAAGTCAGATGAGGAATAGTGAAGGAGACTGGGATAGTAAGCCTGTCTAAGAGGTGACTCCTAGTGGGGTTGAAAGATAGGTCACGAGAACTGCCTTCAAATAATTGAAGGGCTGTGATATTACAGATAAATTAAACTTGTCCCATAAAGTTCTCAGAACCAGCAAATGGAATTTTCAGAGAGATATTAAATTTCAGTGTAAGGACACACTAAGGGTTAGAGCTAACTCTTGGAAATGAGTCACCTCTTCAAAGTTTTTCGTAAAGCTCTGAAATGGTTTGGATATGTGTCACCTCCAAATATCATGTTGAAATGTGACCTCCAGTGTTGGAGGTGAGCCTAGTGGGAAGTGTTTGGGTCATGGGGGTGGATCCCTCATGAATGGTGTGGTGCTGTCCTTGTGATAATGAAAGAGTTCTTGCTCTGACTTCATGTGAGATCTGGTTGTTTAAAAGAGCGTGGCACCTCCTCTTGCTCTCACTGCCACTCTCATCTTGTGATGTGCCTGCTCTCCCTTCACCTCCTGCCATGATTGTAAGCTTGCTGAGGTCTTTGCCAGAAGCAGATGCTGGCACCATGCTTCCTGTACAGCCTGCAGAACTGTGAGCCAATTAAACCTCTTTTTATAAATTATCCAGTCCTCGGTTAGTTCTTTATAGTGATGCAAAAATGGACGGACACAAACTCTATTGCTTGAACTTACTTTTTGTTGAGACTATCTCCTTCAAACTGGCGTTTCCACAAAGTTCTTGTCTGACTCTCACTTCCATACTTGGAGTTTCAGTCAGTAATCATTTAATGCAGCAACTGATAAGAATAATCTATCATTGGCAGAAAACCAGTCATTTACCTTTTTCTTTTTTTCTTTTTCAAGTTTCATTTTAGGTTCTGGGGTTACATGTGCAGGTTTGTTACGTGGGTAAATTGCATATCACTGGGGTTTGGTGTACAAAAGATTTAGTCACCTAGATAGTGAGCAAAGTACCCGATTGGTAGGTTTTTGACCATCACCCTCCTCTCACCCTCCACCCTCAAGTAGGCCCCAGTGTCTATTATTCCCCTCTTTGTGTCCATGTATACTCCAATGTTTAGCTTCCACTTACAAGTGAGAACATGTGGTATTTGGCTTTCTGTTCCTGGTTAGTTTGGTAGGATAATAGCCTCCAGCTACATCCATATTGCTGCAAAGGACATGATCTCATTCTTTTTTATGGCTGTGTAGTATTCCATGGTGTATATGTACCACATTTTCTTTTTTTCTTTTTTTTTTTTTGAGATGGAGTCTTACTCTGTTGCCCAGGCTGGAGTGCAGCGGCACAATCTCGGCTCACTGCAACCTCCACCCCCTGG